>NC_000020.11:2945122-3096638 GCF_000001405.40 Homo sapiens
CTTCAGGTATATTTTACCTGTTCTTAAATTTATCCATTAAGATCTTTTTTTCAGATCTGCTATTACATTTTTATACCATTCTTGACTAAAATTCTTAATGCTACAGGACTGTTCTTCTTGTCTGTTTCTTACTGATTCTCATGTTGCCTTTTTATGGACTAGACACTGTAGTTTTAAAATTATTTATAGAAATGACCTGAGACCTATGATATATTTTTCAAGAGAGGATTTACGTTTGTTTCTAGCTTTGCCTAGGAGTCTTCAATCATTTTAATTCAGTTTCAGGGACTGATTTGCTTTTAAGCAGGGCTGTAGTCCCTACAGGGGTGGTCAACTTCATTTCACTACCTAATATACCTATTATGTGTGGAGTACTTTGCTAGATGTTGGGTAGGTCTTGTGAGCAGAGCAGACCTCTCTTTGGTCTGTATGGAGCACGGAGCTTGATTATAATTGGCAGGTGTGTGTGTGTGTGTGTGTGTGTGTGTGTAAATAAATAAATATTTATTTATTTATTTATTATAGGCCGGGTACAGTGGCTTACACCTGTAATCCCAGCACTTTATGAAGTCAAGGCAGGTGGATCACTTGAGGTCAGGAGTTTGAGGCCAGCCTTGCCAACATGGTGAAACCCTGTCTCTTCTGAAAATACAAAAATTAGCCAGACGTGGTGGCAGGTGCCTGTAATCCCAGCTACTCGAGAGGCTGCGGCATGACAGTCACTCAAGCCCGGGAGGTAGAGGTTGCAGTGAGCTGAGATTGTGCCACTGTAATCCAGCCTGGGTGACAGAGTGAGACTCCATCTCAATATATATATGCGTGTGTGTATATATATATATCTATATCTTTAAGATAGATATATTTATATAGCTAAGTAATTAATAAATATATTAAGTTCTATGAAAGCAATGAGTAGGCTGCTATGGTTGTGAATATTTGGACTACACAGGGGATAAGAATGGGTCTACCATAATTAGCAGGGACAGGTTTTGTTTAAGCCAAAAACTAAGAGGGCTTAGAACAGAAACCGCCAGGCAGAAGCAGTTACCAGTGTGAAGACTAGATGACAACCAAAAAAGTATGTGGGAGGAGGGAGGGGAGGTTGCGCAGTGGGGAGTTGAGATTGACTTAGAACTGTATTAATGAGCTTTCCCCCCAACCCCCATTTTTCTCCCATTTACCTTCAGAAAAATTAGTGATTTGGCTACCAGTGAATCTAGGCTCCAGGTGTAGCTCTGTAGTTTTGGACTAGTTACCTAATTCTTCATTCACAACAAAACAGAAGGAGAGAGGAAAAAGAGAGCAAACATGGAATTGGGATGGGAAGTAAGAGAGCACATGAGGAGAGAGACTATGTCAAGTTTCTTCGTATTCCTTTTTTAATTACAGAAGAAAAGATGGGATAAAAATATTCCATCTTATTTCTCTGTTTAAAAGAAAGAGTAGGCCGGGCATGGTGGCTCACACCTGTAATCCCAGCACTTTGGGAGGCTGAGGCAGGCGGATCACAAGGTCAGGAGTTTGACACCAGCCTGACCAACATGGTGAAACCCCATCTCTACTAAAATTACAAAAATTAGCCGGGCGTGGTGGCGCATGCCTGTAATCCCAGCTACTTGGGAGGCTGAGGCAGGAGAATCGCTTGAACCCGGGAGGCAGAGGTTGCAGTGAGCCGAGATCACGCCACTGCACTCCAGCCTGGGCAACAGAGCGAGACTCCTTCTCAGAAAAAAAAAAAATAATAATAATAAAATAAATAAAAGAAAGAGTAAATGAATCAAAATGAAGAGAAGCCATTTTATCTGCCTCCTGGATGAAGAGTTTCATTGATGAACCTGAAATGTTTTGGTTAACATGAGAAAGGAGGGTGAGAAGATGCCTGAGATGTGAGCTCCTTGAGGACAGGAGCTGCTTTCTCTCTCCAGCCTGGCACAAGACAAGGAACTTAGTTGAATGAATGAGCAAATAAGTGGTTCTCTGCTTTGAAGGAACTTGGACTGTCATTACCTTGCAAATCAGGTTTACCATTTATTTGCTTTATATAAGTTCCAGAAAGAAACTATTTCCTCTCATAATATTACTACCCTAAACTTCTGGTCTGATCTATGGATTGTAGAGCTTAAATTTCCTCAAACCCCAACAGTCAGAGATTGTTACACCAAGATAAATAGCATATTTCTCAGCGCCTTGTATTTTCTGTCTTTGGCCACAGACCTTAGGACTTAGGCTGATATTTGAGAAGGAAAAACTGGAATTTAGTAGAATTATACTTCCTGTATCTTAATTTTCCAACTCTTATATAAGGTTTGCTTTTTCTAGAGAGAGACTAATCTGGAATGAGAATGAATTCTCATCAGTAAAGGCAAAGCTTTAAGTGGGTCATCTGACTTTGCTTTTGTGCTCTACATTCACCCTGCTCATAAAAGGTCCTTTCATGAGTTTTCTAGGCTTTCATCACTGCCAGCGTCTCCACAGGCATTGTGAAAGTATTAAACTTCCTACCCTCCCCCATGCTTGTCTCATGGACTCTTTCGTAGAGTGCACAGTGGACTGTGTTTAGCTCAGCAGGAACTCTTTGCAAACACTGAATACATGAACAACCCCCCTGGAAAGATAAGAGATTTCAGTATTGCTTGGTGTCATAGCCGCAGAAGTTAGTGTCTGCCAGTATCTGATGAATATGGTGACTTGCAGCCTAATTTTTGTGAAATTATGAGGCCAAAGTTTAAGAAGTGTTCATGTTAAAGTTACTTATATATAAAATTTGCCTATCGATAATTTCTGTCAATAGGAGGTTGATGAATGCTTCACATAACCTAGATACTCCTAATTAACTGTTTTTTATTTCTTTTTTTCTAGGACACATGTTCAAAGAGCATAATTAACTTTTTAAAAGAAGCTAGTAAGTACTGAAATAGTTTTTTAAGTTTTTTCTACAAGAATAGAGGAAGAAAGGAAACATGGAATTCTGAAGGGCTACTTAGCAAGCTGCTTATGGCATAATCTGGGGTGGGGGTGCATAGTAAAGGATTTGCATTTTACTGAGACCGATACATGTCAAGGGAATGGTATTTAAAATTAGTGATATGTGTTGATTTTTCAAGGACTATAGCCCATCAACTACAATAGGCTCCAAAAAATTCTGGTGAAATTAGCTTCTTGGAGCCTTCCAGTTTACCTACTATGTTATTCCCACTATAAAATATTCTCAACTTTTGGGGTTTTAGCCACTTAAGTTTTTTATTTTCTCTAATGTCTCTAGTATCTGCTTTAGTTTCCTGTCAATGCTAGACTCTGTGGTTCAGCAGTTCATCCATTCTCTTCCCAGTACTCAACCTCGTTGCTTATAGTTTCATTACATTCATCTAGCAAAACCTTAATTCTGTATGTTTGCCATACCATTAGTGCTTAGAGCATTTTTTCAGAAAAGAATCCTGGAAAAATGGATCTTATCTCACCTGGGCCCTCAGGACTGCTGGGCTGCCTGGTGTCAGCACTTCCCGCCATTTTCTATAGCACCAGTATTATTCTTAATACTTTAAAAAACCACCAGGCACGGTGGCTCACGCCTGGAATCCCAGCACTTTGGGAGGCCAAGGTGGGCGGATCACAAGGTCAGGAGATCAAGACCATCCTGGCTAACACAGTGAAACCCTGTCTGTACTAAAAATAGAAAAAAATTAGCTGGGCGTGGTGGCGGGCACCTGTAGTCCCAGCTGCTGGGGAGGCTGAGGCAGGAGAATGGCGTGAACCCGGGAGGCGGAGCTTGCAGTGAGCCGAGATTGCACCACTGCACTCCAGCCTGGGTGACAGAGCGAGACTCCGTCTCAAAAAAAAAAAGTAAATAAAAATAAAAAACCATATCCCACTATCTCCCCCTTCTCTCTTTGCCTGTGATCTTGCTGCATACTTATGGGGAAATCTTTAAGATGTCAGATTTCAGTTCTCTCACTTTTCTACAACTTCTCCCACTTTTGCCTTTCTTATGTACCTTCCCTTCCTTCCCATCTGATTCCTTATCAGTATTTACACATGATTAGTTCTTGCCTAACCTAATAGACCCTTTCTTGAGTGCAAATCAGTGGCTATTTTTGCTAGGGTATAAAAATTACCTATCTAATCACCTTGACAAAGTTACCCTGTTATTTCCAATAACTTACTTCCTATGGATTCTTGTAGATTTTCTTTTTTTTTTTTTTAATTTTTTTATTTTCAGATGTTTTCTCGCTTTGTCACCATGCCTGGCCTAAATTCTCGTAGGTTTTCTATGTAAACAATCAGATTTTCTGCAAGTATTAGTCTCCTTTCTAATTGTTATAATTTTAATTTCTTTTTCTTTTTAAAATTTTTCGTAGAGACAAGGTTTTGCTATGTTGTCCAGCCTGGTCTTGAACTCCTGGGCTCAAGCAATCCTCCCATCTCAGCCTCCCAAAGTGCCATTACAGTGGCATGAGCCACTGTGCCTGGCCAAATTTCTTTTCTTGTTGCGAAGGCAGACTTTTCATACAATACTGAATAGAAGTGATAGTAGATTACTTTATTTCTGATTTTCAAAGGAATGCTTTCCGTTTCTCTCTGTTGAAGATAATTGCGTATTGTTTTTTTTTTTAAATAGTAACTTTTATCAGGTTAAGGAAGGTTTCTTCTATTTCTATTTAAAAGGATTTTTTAAAATCTTGAATTCATATGTTTTTATCTAATGCATTTTCTACATCAGTTGAAATGGTTGTATGAACTCTTTTAATATGGGTGAATTATATTTATAGATTTTATGTTAAAATATCCTTGTATATCTTGGATAAACTCAACTGGATCATGATTTATCTTTTTTATATGCTAGATTCAATTTGTTGATACTTTGTTATGATTTTTGAATATATATTATTGTGTAAAAGTGAGCCTGTGATTTTCTTTCTTGTAATGTTTCTGTCCAGTTTTGGTGCCTGGTTTTGCTCTCTCCTTAGAATGAGCTGGGAACTAGTCACTCTTGTTTTCTCACCTATAATAGCATCTGGGTCCAGTGTTTTTTATGTGGGACAAATTTGAACTTGTGGTCAACCTCTTTAATTGTAAGAATATTCAGGTCTTTTGTTCTTCCTGGGCTAGTTTTTTATTCTTTTTCTAGAGATTCGTTCATTTTTCTTAGTTTTATTTGCCTATAATTGTGGATAATCTGTTTTTTATCTGCTACTTCTGTAATTATTTCCACATTTGATTTATAATATTAACTTGTGGGCCAGGCGTCGTGGCTCACACCTGTAATCCCAGCACTTTGGGAGGCCGAGGCGGGCGGATCACGAGGTCAAGAGATCGAGACCATCCTGGCCATCATGGTGAAACCCCGTCTCTACTAAAAATACAAAAAAAAAAATTAGCCGGGCGTGGTGGCAGGCACCTGTAGTCCCAGCTACTCAGAAGGCTGAGGCAGGAGAATGGCGTGAACCCAGGAGGCGGAGGTTGCAGTGAGCCGAGATCGCACCACTGCACTCCAGCCTGGGCGACAGAGCGAGACTCCATCTCAAAAAAAAAAAAAATTTACTTGTGTCTTCTCTTTTTACCTGTTTGTTAATTTATCAAATAACTACTTTTGGCTTTGTTTCATTTTTATTATACAATAAAATGAAATTCTTTTCATTGTATTTCTTTTCATTGATTATTCCTATAATTCTTAAACAACTTTATAATTGATGTAACAATAACCTGTACACATTTAAAGTGTAAAATTTATTACATTTTGATCCATGTATATAGCAGGGAAATATCACCACAACAAGAGTGTGAACATATAATCTCTCCCCAAAGTTTTCTTGTGTCTTTTATAATCACTGCCTCTTGCCCCTGCCCACTCCCTCATCCTTAAGCAACCATTGGTCTGTTTTCTGCCACTATAGATTAGATTGTATTTTCTAGAGTTTTATACAAGTGAAATCATGTAGTATAGTATTAACCATGTGTTTGTTTGTTTGTTTGTTTCTTTCTTTCTTTCTTTTTTTTTTAGACGGAGTCTCGCTTTGTCACCCAGGCTAAAGTGCAGTGGGGCGATCTCGGCTTACTGCCAGCTCCGACTCCGGGGTTCACACCATTCTCCTACCTCTGCCTCCCGAGTAGCTGGGACTCCAGGCGTGCCCGCCACCACGCCCAGCTAGTTTTTGTATTTTTAGTAGAGACGGGGTTTCACCATGTTAGCCAGGATGGTCTCGATCTCCTGACCTCGTGATCCGCCCACCTCAGCCTCCCAAAGCGCTGGGATTACAGGCAGGAGCCACTGCGCCCAGCAACTATGTGTTTCTGATCCTTTGTCAGGGCTAGCCAATTCCTAGAGACAGTGAATAACTCACTCATAATCTAGCTGCCTCCTTTATGTCGCTCTCATAGGACTTTGACACCTCTCTGCTACAATCCACCTGCCCTGTTCATTTCAAGATCAGGTACCAGGAAACTCGGGACATCCCTATGCTGCAGAACTCACTGAAATTATTCAAACTAGCCAGTCCTAAACATGCTTACCCTGCCTTGCCCATTCCTTCCGCTGAAACCACATAAAGGCTCTTGCCCATGTTTTCATCCCATTCCATTGACCTCCTTACTGACCCTAGCTAGTGCTTCCTCATGTGGCCCCTGCATGGCATGGTGTGCACCTTCCTCTTCGGAACTGCGAGTAACTGTCTTGTCAGCGGCAATCATCTTGTGATCTGTTGGCCTCATCATATTTGAATAACAATAAAATCTGTTTTAAGGCTGGGCGCGGTGGCTCATGCCTGTAATCCCAGCACTTTGGGAGGCCAAGGCAGGCGGATCACGAGGTCAAGAGATTGAGGTGAAACCCCCTCTCTACTAAAAGTAGAAAAATTAGCTGGGCATGGTGGTGCGTGCCTGTAATCCCAGCTACTCAGGAGACTGAGGCAGGGAATCTCTTGAACCCAGGAGGCAGAGGTTGCGGTGAGCCAAGATTGCACCACGGCACTCCAGCCTGGTGACAGAGCGAGACTCCATCTCAAAAAAAGAAAAAAAAAAAACTGTCAAATGATACTCCAAAATGGTTGTACCATTTTATATTTGCAACAACAATGTCTGAGGGTACTGATTGCTCCATATCCTTGACAGCACTTGGTATAGCTGATCTTTTAATTTTAGTCACTTTAGTGGGCATATACTGGTATTTTATGTTTTACTTTTTATTTTCCTAATGATTAATAGTTTGCAGCATCTTTCATGTGCTTATTTCCCTTTCATATATCTTCTTTGATAAAAATATCTGTTCAAATATTTTGCCCATTATTTTGTTGGAATACTTATTTTCTTACTGTTGAGCTTTGAGAGTTCTTTATATATCTGGATACCAATCCTTTGTCAGATATATTTTTTGCAAAATTTTTTCCCAGCCTGTGATTTAGTTTGTTATTCTCATGTCTTTTAAAAAAAATTGTAGTTAAAATATACACATAATACAAAATTTAACATTTTAACTCTTTGTAAGTATACAGTTTTGTGGTATTAAGCATAGTCACATTGTTGTGCAACCATCACCGCCATCCATCTCTGGAACTTTTTCATCCTCCCTGACTGAAATTCTGTACCCATTTAAACACTAACTTCTCATTCCCCCTTACTCCAGCCCCTGGCAACCATCGTTCTGTTTTCCTTCTCTATGAGTTTGACTGCTCTAAGTACTTCATATAAGTGGAGTCATACAATATTTTCATTTTGTGACTGGCTTATTAGTATAATGTCTTCAAGTTTCATCCATGTGGTAGCATGTGTCAGAATTTCCTTCCTTTTTAAGGCTAACATTCCATCCTATGTATATACCACATTTTATCCATTCATCTGTTGATGGACATTTAAGTTGCTTCCTCCTTTTGGCTATTGTGAATAATGCTGCTGTGAATGTTGTTGTATAAATATCTGTTCGAGTTCCTGCTTTCAATTCTTTTGAGTATGTTCCCAAAAGTAGAATTGCTGGGTCATATGTTAATACTGTATTTAGTTTTTTGAGGAATTGCCATACTGATTTCTATAGTAGTGGTACCATTTACATTCCAACCAGCAGTGTTCAGGGTTCCAATTTGTTAACATTCTTGCCAACCCTTGTTGTTTTCTGGATTTTTTTTATTTTGGGGTTTTTTATTTTATTTATTTATTTTTTTTTTGAGGCAGAGTCTCACTCTGTCACCCAGGCTGAAGTGTAGTGGCGCAATCTCGGCTCACTGCAACCTCTGCCCCCCGGGTTCAAGCGATTCTCCTGCCTCAGCCTCCGAGTAGCTGGGACTACAGGCGCGCGTTACCACGCCTGGCTAATTTTTTGTATTTTTAGTAGAGGTGGGGTTTCACTGTGTTAATCAGGATGGTCTCGATCTCCGGACCTTGTGATTCACCCGCCTCAGCCTCCCGAAGTGCTGGGATTACAGGCGTGAGCCACTATGCCTGGCCATTTTTTATTTTTAAACAATAGCCATCCTAATGGGTATGAAATAGGTTTTTTGGTGTTTTGTTTTTTTTTTTTGAGACAGAATCTTGCTGTGTTGCCCTGGCTGGAGTGTAGTGACGTGATCTCGGCTCACCTCAACCTCCGTCTCCTGGGTTCAAGCACTTCTCCTGCCTCAGACTTCCAAGTGGCTGGGACTACAGGCGCCCGCCACCACACCCAGCTAGTTTTTGTATTTTTAGTAGAGATGGGGTTTCACTGTGTTGGCCAGGCTGGTCCACGATCCATCCACCTTGGCCTCCCAAAGTGTTGGGATTACAGGGGTGAGCCACCATGCACAGCCAGGGTTTTGTTTTGTTTTGTTTTTACTATTTTTTTTTTTTTTTAGAGACAAGCTGTCTCCCAAGCTGTAGTGCAGTGGCACCATTCGTATCTCACTGTAACCTCAAACTCCTGGACCCAAGCAATCCTCCTGCCTCAGCCTTCCATGTAGCTACGTCTACAGGCATGTGCCACCATACCCGGCTAACTTTTTTTTTTTTTTTTTTTTTGAGAGTTTTGCTCTTGTTGCCCAGGCTGGAGTGCAATGGCATGATCTTGGCTCACTGCAACCTCCTCTTCCTGGGTTCAAGTGATTTTCCTGCCTCAGCCTCCTGAGTAGCTGGGATTACAGGCGCCCGCCACCACGCCTGGCTAATTTTTTGTATTTTTAGTAGAGATGGGGTTTCACCATGTTGGCCAGGCTGGGCTCGAACTCCTGACCTCAGGTGATCCACCCACCTTGACCTCCCAAAGGGCTGGGATTACAGGCGTGCGCCACCACACCTGGCCCCCAGCTAACTTTTAAATGTATTTTGTAGAGATGAGGTCTCACTGTGTTGGCCAGGCTGGTCTTGAACTTCTGAGCTCAAGTCATTCTCCCACCTCGGCCTCCCAAAGTGCTGGGATTACAGGCATGAGCCACCACACCTGGCCCCTTTGCCCATTTTAAAAATTAGGTTGTTTTTGTTGTTGTTGAGTTGTAGGAGCTCTTTGTATATTCTGCATTTCGGTTCCTTATTGGATATGTGATTGGCATACATTTTTTCCCATCCATGGATTGCTTTTTCATTCTGTTATAGTATCCTTGATTCACAGAAGTTTTTAATATTGATGAGGTCCTGCTTAGTCTGTGTTTTGTTTTGTTGCTTGTGCTTTTGGTGTTATATCCAAGAAATTTTTGCCAAATCCAAAGTCATGAAGCTTTGCCCTCTGTTTCCTTCTGAGTTTTATAGTTTTAGGACTTAAATTTAGGTTTTCGACCCATTTTTAGTTAATTTTTGCAAGTGGTATAAGGGAGGGGTCCAGCGTTATTGTTTCACGTGTAGATATACAGTTTTCTGAGTACCATTTGATGAAAAGGCTGTCCATTGAATTGCTTTTGCAACTTTTATTTGGGCATATTTATGTGAGTCTGTTACTGGTTCTATATTTTACTCCATTGATCTATGTGTCTATTCCTCTGCTAATACTGTCTTAAATATGGTAGCTATATAGTAAGCCTTAACACTGAGTAGATAGATTTCTCCCCTTTTTTTGTTCTTTTTCAAAATTGTCACTGGTTTGTTTTTATTTTTTACTTTATGCAGATAATCTGTACTATACTTTGGTTTCATGTATCAAGTAGTTTGTTCCAAGTTGTGCTTTAAGCAGAACAAATAAATTTTCATATTGTTCTTTGTGTTAATCTGCAATATAAACCTATACCAAATTCTATTTTGTGTATTTGTTTATTGTAGTAATCTGACTGACTCTTTTGCCTCCAGACTCATCTCTTTCAAGGTCCCCAACTGAATCTTGTTTTAGGTGGAACTTAGAAGCAGTAGAAGTTAAGAATCTATTTCACAGCCTTAGTAGTCTAGTTTCATTCTCTATATAATGTTGTCTATGCAAGTGAGCTGCTCTCCAGTGCCTTAGTTTCACTAATGTTGGGGAAGGTCTCTTCTCTTGTTTTGGACTTCTCTATCACATTGCCTTTCTCAAGAGAAGACATATAATGAAAGTTGATATCTGGTGTTCTAGGACTTCTTCAGAAGCTTGCCAGTTTTTCAAGCTGATTTCTCTCACTGGCAACTCTTCAGAGTGCTGTTCCTACTCCACCCTCCCCTGGTGGTATGTATCAGTTTTCTACTCATCAGCACCCACCTACTCCTGCCTACTGTGTTTCTCAGATGTCTGCTGCCTGGCTAGCTCATTGCTGCTTTTGTCACTCATAGAGCTGTCTTCTTCCCTTTTTTTGGCTTTCTGCCTGACTTCCAGGGCAGCTGCTCTGTCATTGCCTGTCTGCCATTCTGTCTTTTTTCCCCCTACCCCCCACAGATACAACATCTACTCTAATACCACACATTCTCCATGTTCAAACTAACCTCATCACTTTCCCCACCACATTCCCCAAAACTGGTCATCCTCCAGCTTATAGCATTGCAGTTCACTGAAGTTAGACATCTGGGCCTTGCTTACCTCCAACATCTCATTAGCCTTCGATTCTACCCCTATAAATCCTCTTCTCAGTCTCCTTTAGATATTCCTGCCCTGCTGTGAGATCCATCTGGTTTATTGGCTAGATTACTTCAGAAAGCTTCAGTCAGTGACCCTCCTTACTTCAAACCCCACCAGTTGATCCTTCACTCTGCCATCAGTCATTGCTTCTAAAATCTAAATTGTTCCATTTAACCTTGCTGTGATAAAACCTTTGGTAGTTCTTCAGTGTGTTCAGTGGTAAGTTAAAACTTTCACTGTAATGTACAGGCCCCTTCATGATATGATCGCTGCCTCCTCGAGCCTCATTGTGTGCATTTCCCCGCCCCACCCTTTCCTCACCCACCCTAGTCTTTCATGTCTGCCATTTTTACATTCATTTAGCAGATATTTATTGAAGCCCCCTGTGATGTCCTTACCTAGGTCTTTCTTGTTGCCAGGACCAGACAGGCTTTTTCAAGCTTCCAAGTCATCTCAGTTTGAAAGACTATGTCTGACCCTTGTCTTGGCCAATTACTCTTTATCCTTCCAAGTTCAATGATTGTCCCACTGCACTCCAACCAGAGTGAGAGAGCAAGACCCTGTCTCAGTAAATAAAAATAAATAAATAAATAAATAAATAAATAAATAAATCAGCCATAATTTATTTAATCATGTCTCTCTCCCCCATTGATAGACGTTAAGGGTATTTCCAGTATTCTTCTCTTGAAAACAATGCTACATTGAATAACCTTGTACATGGGTCACTTTGAAAGTATGGATATGTATCCGTGGAATAAGTTTCCAGAAGTGGAATTGTGTCAGAGGGGTTGTGCATTTGTAATTCTGATGAATATTTATAGATTATATGAGAGTACCTGTTTACTCAAACTCTTGCCAATGCAGCATTATCAAAGTTTTTTATGTTCGCCAGTGTGATAGATTAAAAAATGGTATCTCAGCCAGGCGCAGTGGCTCACGCCTGTAATCCCAGCACTTTGGGAGGCTGAGGCGGGCAGATCACGGGGTCAGGAGATCGAGACCATCCTGGCCAACACAGTGAAACCCTGTCTCTACTAAAAATACAAAAAATTATCCAGGCGTGGTGGCGGGCACCTGTAGTCCCAGCTACTCGGAAGGCTGAGGCAGGAGAATGGCATGAACCTGGGAGGCGGAGCTTGCACTGAGCCGAGATCGCGCCACAACATTCGAGCCTGGGCGACAGAGCGAGACTCCGTCTCAAATAATAAAAAAAAAAGATGGTATCTCAGCATTGATTTCTTTGATCATCAGTGAGGTTGAGCATCTTTTCATAGATTTAAGAGAACTGTATGGTTTTTTGTGAGTTATGTTTCATATCGTTTACCCATTTTACTTTTAGGCTGGAAGCAGCTGTTTTAGTGGAATGGTGGAACAAGAAGCCAGATTGCCATGGAGAGACAACTCTTTCTAGAGATTTGGCTATGAAGCAGAGTAGAGACAATGATAGCTGAAGGATTGATGTAGATGCAAAGAAATTTTTCATCTTCTTTGAAAACTTAATTGTGTTAAAAACTGGTATGAAAGGGAGGGGTTAAAGCTAGAGATGGTGGTAGAAAAAAATGCAGGGTTCCTAAAGGACTGAGATTCCTGGATGGAATTTCAGGGAAGGGGAAAATTTCTGGATATAGTGACTGGGGAGTTAAGGGTGTCTAGTCCAATGGCTTTTATTTTCTTGGAAGGGTAGGCAAGGCCAACAGCCACATGTGTGGGAGGAGATGGTTAGAGGGGAGAGGAGGTTTGAAGGCACCGCTATGGAGAATTGGAGAGAGCTAAGGAAAGACAGAAAGACTGCAGAAAGTGCTTAGGGTTCCACTGAAGCGGAAATAGTGATTTGTAGTGATACAACCCTTATGAGTTATTTGATTTTTTTTTTTTTTTAAGCAGCATCTGGCAGTCCAAGTATAGGGCTGACAGTTTGGGATTTTTCTTTCCATGTTGGTGTAAAAGAAGAACAGTGTAGTGAAGGAAGTTAGGACAAAAGAATGATTGAACTGACACCAAGTTTTCTTGATTTGGTAGAAAAGGAAATAAAGATAGAGCAGAGATATTGAAAAGAATTAGAGAGGGGTTCAAGAGACTGAAGGCCTGGGTGAGGTCAGAGAGCAGGTGTGGTAGACATAACAGAGAGAACTACAAGGATAGAAAGTGTGGTTGGAGAGTGGGAAGGCAAGATTTATTCAGTATGGGGGCTTTTCTGGGTGATGACAGCATCTGGAGTACAGCCATTGTCGTGAGTGGCCCAAGTGTAGCAGAGATAAAGCGTTGTTGGAGTGAAGGAAGTCAAGGAACTGAGAGGCTGGCCTAGATGGGGATTTTGGTTGTCATCCATGAGGATATTGAAGTCATCCAGGAGAATAGCAGGCCTGGGGGACAGGAAGGAAACTGAGCCACTTACAGTGTCTTCAGTGATAGGAAAGCACAGGGCAAAAAGCTTTCAAGAACAGGGACTGTTAAGCCGGGTACAGTGGCTCACACCTATAATCCTAGCATTTTGGGAGGCCAAGGCGGGTGGATCACTTGAGGTCAGGAGTTCAAGACCAGCCTGGCCAACATGGTGAAACCCCATCTCTACTAAAAAAAAAAAAAAAAAAAAAAAAAAAGAAATACAAAAATTAGCCAGGCATGGTGGCACGCGCCTGTAATCCCAGCTACTTGGGAGGCTGAGGCAGGAGAATTGCTTGAACCTAGGAGGCGGAGGTGGCAGTGAGCCTAGATCACACCACTGTACTCCAGCCTGGGCAACAGAGCGAGACTGTATCAAAAAAAAAAAAAAAAAAAAAGAACAGGGACTGTTAGAGCAGGCTCCAGGAGAAATGCTTTGCATATGGCATTCTTGAGGAGTGAGGAGGACCTCAACCCTACTTCCTGAAATGGAGCTCTGAGATGTTGGAGTAGAAATTTGGAAACCAGAGAGAGAAGTAAGGATAGTGTTGTTGCAAATGCATTGTATATGGGGGGTCGGGAAGTCACAGGAGTTTGCCTCAAAGTCTTTCTCGGAGACGGATGAGGTTTTCACTGTGATTTTCCTGGTCGTGGTCTATGGATATAGTACCTGTTAGTGACATGGATCTTCTTAACTTCTGATGTGTCTTTTCCTCCCTAGTGTACGCATACCAATTCTCTCCACAGCTTCCATCACCATGCATTTGTTCTTTTCCCTTGTTCTTGTATTACCTTTCTGGAAAGGAATTTTTATTGTAGGCTAATTGTTACTCCCACCAGTATTTAACCACTGGATATTTCATATGATTGATCTCTTCTGATTTGGAAAATAAAAATGTAATCTCATTATATTCATTTGATTAGTGGGGACAGTCAACACTTCTTTGTGTATTTTCTTAGCTGTTCGTTTTTCTCGTCTGTAAATTATCTGTTTAGGTCCTTCAGATTTTTCAAAATTGGACTGTTATGTTTTCAGTATTGTTATGAGTTCTTGTTTCAATTATTTATGACAGTTCATTTTCTTTTTTAAAATAGACTTTTTTTTTCTTAGAGAAATAAGAAAAAATAAAAATTAAAATAGACTTTGTGTTTTAGAGAGTTTCAGGTTCACAGCAAAATTGATCAAAAAGTATGGAGAGTTCCGGCCAGGCGCGGTGGCTCACACCTGTAATCCCAGCACTTTGGAAGGCCAAGGTGGGCAGATCACAAGGTCAGGAGTTTAAGACCAGCCTGGCCAATATGATGAAACCCCATGTCTACTAACAATACACAAATTAGCTGGGTGTGGTGGTGCACACCTGTAACTGTACCTACTCAGGAGGCTGAGGCAGAAGAATCTCTTGAACCTGGGAGGTGGAGGTTACAGTGAGCCACAGTCATGCCCCTGCACTCCAGCCTGGGCAACAGAGTGAGACTCCGTCCTAAAAAAAGAAAGAAAGAAAATATAGAGCATTCCTAAATACCACCTGTCCCCAACACCTGCACAGCCTCCTCATTATCCACATCCTACACCACTGTGGTACCTTTGTTGCAATTGATGGACCAACATTGACTCCTCATTATCACCCAAGCTTTGGTGTTGTACATTCTGTAGATTTGGACAAATGTATAATGACATGTGTCTACCATTGTAGTATCATACAGAAGAATTTGACTGCCCTGACAGTCCTCTGCTCCACCTGCTTACTCCTCTCTCCCTTTTCCTAACTGCACAACCACTGATTTTTTTTTTTTTTTTTTGAGACGGAGTCTCACTCTGTCCCCCAGGCCGGAGTGCAGTGGCGCCATCTTGGGTCACTGCAAGCTCCACCTCCCGGGTTCATGCCATTCTCCTGCCTCAGCCTCCCGAGTAGCTGGGACTACAGGTGCCCGCCACCACATCCGGCTAATTTTTTGTATTTGTAGTAGAGACGGGGTTTCACCATGTTAGCCAGGATGGTCTCGATCTCCTGACCTCGTGATCCGCCCACCTCGGCCTCCCAAAGCTGGGATTACAGGCATGAGCCACCACGCCCTACCTTTTTTTTAAAAAACAAGGTCTTGCTCTGTCACCCAGGCCTGAGTGCAGTGATGATCACTCCTCACTGAAGCGTCGACCTCCCAGGCTCAAGTGATCCTCCCACCTCAGCCTCCTAAATAGCTGAGACTACACACACACACCACCATGCCCAGCTAAGTTTTGTATTTTTTATAGAAATGTGGTCTTGCTGTGTTGTCCAGGCTGGTCTTGAACTCCTGAGCTCAAGCAATTTGCCTGCCTTGGCCTCTCAAGGTGTTGGGATTACAGGCATGAGTCACCGCACCTGGCCTTTTTTATTTTCTTTTTTTTTTTTTAACCAGTGATCTTTTACTGTCTCCATGGTTTTTCACATTGGCTTCTGTCACTTAGTAATATATGTTTAAGTTTCTTCTACGTATTTTCATGTTTTTAGCTTATTTCTTTTTAGCAGTGAGTAATATTTCATTGTCTGGATGTGCCATCACTTATTTATCCATTCGCCTGCTGAAGGATATCTTGATTGCTCCCAGTCGTGGCAATTATAAATAAAGTTGCTGTAAACATCCATGTGCAGGTTTTTTTTAAGTGGCATAAGTTTTCATCTCATTTGGTTAAATACCAAGGAGCACAATTGCTGGATCATATGGTAAGAGCTTATTTATTTTTTTGAGAGACTACCAAGCTGCCTTCCAAAGTGGATGTACCATTTTGCATTCCCACCAGCAGTGAATGAGAGTTCCTGCTGCTCCATATTCTTACAAACATGTAGTATTGTCAAATGTTTTGGATTTTAAAACCAAAATCCATTTTCATAGATGTGTAGTGGTATCCCGTTTTAATTTGCAATTACCTAATGACTTGATGTTCTGTGTCTTTTCAGATGCTTATTTGCCGTACTGTTTATCTTCTTTGGTGAGGTGTCTCTTCAGGTCTTTTGCCCATTTTTAATCTGGTTGTTATTTTTCTTGTTGAGTTTAAGAATTCTCTGTCCTTTGTCAGATCTATCTTTTGCAAATATTTTCTCCTAGTCTGTGGCTTATCCTCTGATTCTCTTGGCATTGTCTTTCACAGAGTAGACATTTTATATTTTAATGAAGTCCAGACTATCAATTATGTTCTCATGGATCATGCCTTTGATGTTATATCTAAAAAGTTCTCGCCATACCCAAAGTCATCTAGATTTTCTCCTGTTATCTTCTTGGCATTTTATAGTCTTATGATTGATATTTAGGTCTATGATTCATTTTTAGTTAAATTTTTGTGAAAGATAATAAGGTCTGATATGGATTAATTTTTCTATATGTAGCTGTCCCTTTCCAGTATCATTTGTTGAAAAGACTATCTTGCTCCATTTTATTGCCTTTGCTCCTTTGTCAGTTGACTATATTTATGTGGGTCTGTTTATGATCTCTGTTCCGTTCCATTGATCTGTTTGCCTTTTCTTTTGCTAATACCACAGTCTTAATTACCATAGCTTTAAAGTAAGTCTTGAAGTCCAATAGCATTAATCTTTGACTCTTCTTTAATATTGAGTTGCCCCTTCAGAATCTTAATGTCTCTCCATGTAAACTTTAGAATCAGCATTTTTATATTCACAAAATAACTTGCTGAGATTATGATTGAGATTGCATTGAATCTATAGGCTTATTTGGGAATAACTGACATCTTGACAATATTGAGTCTTCCTGTCCATAAACATTATTTATGATGGGCTTCTTCTTTATGTTTAGGAGCTTTTGTTTTTTCTGTCAGATATTCCACTTCTACCTTTATGATTTCTTAATTGCCTTTTATGCTTAGAAAGTTTTTCCTCATCCTGAGCTCACATATTCATTTATTTTCTTTTAAAATGTGTTTTCAAGCATTTAATTTTTAAACCTATGTGGAATTTATTTTGGTATATGGAATGAGGTGGTGGTCTAACTCCCTCCTCTCAAATATGTAGTTATTTTTCCCAAAACCATTTTCTATTAATTTATCAAGAATAGACATGTATACATATACATATATAATAGTCAGCCTTCCACTTGTTGTTTGACCCTTGTGAAGGAAATTGTATGAGTTTCCAATTTTGGATTAGGCTCAGGTAGTAATTGAGCTGGGTTCTGCCAGAGATCCATGTTAATTCACTATCCAAACAGAGTTATAAAATGTAAGTTTTATGAAAATCTAACAGTATATCACTGGTTTAATGATCACAGCCTAGGAAGAATGGGGAAATTGTCAAAATCTTCTGTGGATGCACCTGAAGGCCACTGCTGAACCCATTTCCCTGCTAGGCACGGCTGCTGGTACCAGGGGCAAACTCCTGGAGTATATATGAACCACCTACATCTCCTTCTCTTCCCCCCCTACCCTTGAGATTTTCATGTGTCCCTTAAGGATGTGTGTCCTACTTCCCTTGGAGAGTCACTACCACATTGAACACTTTAGACTGTGAGTCCTGTGAAGATGGGGCTCATGAGTGTATTGCTCCCCAGTTGTTTCTCTAGCACTAGCTCAGTATAGGGCATAAAAATCTGAATGGATGAACAAACCACTATTACTGGTGGGGACATGCTACTATCTTACATGGTTCGAGGTGGAATAAAGGTTGAGAACAGCTATATAATGTGTTCCTTGAAGGGCAGCAGTACATCAGTGCAATCAGCCTACCTTCTCCATACTTCTCACTCTGAAAACTGTAAAGCTGCACCTAGCAATCAACTTGGGAGCTTTAAAAGGGACTGCTCCCTAGCTCTCACCCACAAAGCTGTAGTCTAGCACAGGTGACTTTTTTAAAAAAGTTTTTTGGTCCAGATGTGATGACTCACGCCTGTAATCCCAGCACTTCGGGAGGCTGAGGCTGGGAGGTCACCTGGGGTCAGGAGTTTGAGACCAGCGTGACCAACATGGAGAAACCCCATCTCTACTAAAAATTTGCCGGGCATGGTGGCACATGCCTCTAATCTCAGCTACTCGGGAGGCTGAGGCAGGAGAATTGCTTGAACCCGGGAGGCGGAGGTTGCCGTGAGCCAAGATCACACCATTGCACTCCAGCCCGGGCGACAGTGCAAGACTCCGTCTCAAAAAAAAATAAAAAAGGAGTCCTATTAAGACTTATTTTTACAGGTTGGATATCTCTAATCCCAAAATCTGAAATGCTCCAAAATTTGAAACTTTTTGAGCGCAGACATGATGCTCAAAAAAATGCTCACTGGGACATTTTGGATTTCAAAATTTGGATTAGGGACTAGGTGTGGGAGCTCACACCTGTAATCATAGCACTTTGGGAAGTTGAAGCAAGAGGATCAGTTGAACCCAAGAGTTTGAGAGCAGCCTAGACAACATAGTGAGACGCCGTCTCTACAGAAAATTTTAAAAATTAGCCAGGCATCGTAGTACATGCCTATAGTCCCAGCTACTCAGGAGGCTGAGACAGAAGGATCACTTGAGTCCAGGAGGTAGAGGCTGCACTGAGCTATGATCATAACCACTGTCTCCATCCTGGGCAACAGAGCAAGACCCTATCTCTTAAAAAAAATCTGAAACACTGCTAGTCCTCAAGATAAGGGATAGTCAGTCTTTATAAAGACTCAATTAGTTATTGGATATCTGAGGAAGCATGCATATCAGGCTCCCAAAAGATCATTGGTTTAGGCACACATTTTAATAGCTTGGAAATCCAGAATACTCTTCTGGTGACCAGCTCAGACATAGTCCTGATAATATAGGACCTCATCTAACATGACTCCCTATTTTCCAGATAAGCATGGATTCCTGGTTCATTCTTGTTCTGCTCGGCAGTGGTCTGATATGTGTCAGTGCCAACAATGCTACCACAGGTAAATTGTCATTTGATAAGGCTGCTATTTGAAATGAAATTTTGCTTTCACATTTAATGAGCCACATTTGAAAACCGAGATGGTATTTGAAGAAAGGAATATAAAAATTTTATTCAAAGTGATGGTAAAATAGGTGTCTTCAGAAATCTTGGAATTGAATGCTCAGCATTGTTTTTCATACATACATAACTGCTTTAAATAAATCAAAGAGATTATGTGTTCTTTCCTGAAAAGTAAAATAAATTGTTGACATTTACAACTCTATATATGGTTTCTGAGGAACTAAGTGAAGAATCTTGTGTCTTTCTCCCTTAAACCGTAGTCCTTTGGAGGAGGTAGGAAAGGTCCAGCATGAGATAAAAACGTAGGGGGTGGGTGGTGTTGAGGGGGATTGGTCTTTGCTTGGTCTCCATATGTTTGAGAGTTTATTAAGGCTTGCTGCTTTGTGTCTCACAGCTTTTTAGCCTCACATTCTTCATGTGCTATTTCCTTGTTTTTTGGTGTTTGTAGTTGCACCTTCTGTAGGAATTACAAGATTAATTAACTCATCAACGGCAGAACCAGTTAAAGAAGAGGCCAAAACTTCAAATCCAACTTCTTCACTAACTTCTCTTTCTGTGGCACCAACATTCAGCCCAAATATAACTCTGGGACCCACCTATTTAACCACTGTCAATTCTTCAGACTCTGACAATGGGACCACAAGAACAGCAAGCACCAATTCTATAGGCATTACAATTTCACCAAATGGAACGTGGCTTCCAGATAACCAGTTCACGGATGCCAGAACAGAACCCTGGGAGGGGAATTCCAGCACCGCAGCAACCACTCCAGAAACTTTCCCTCCTTCAGGTACTAGAGATGATTCTGTTTGTTCTTTTGCTCTTTGAGTTTAGTCTTCCTTTTATTATCTTGTTTGTGTTTTCTAGCCTTAAAATTTCTTCAAATAAGTAAAATTGCTCAAGTGAAGTAATGAAACCTGTATGTGGAATTTTTGGGTTAGCATGAGTGAAGAGGAAAGAAGAAAGATTCTGGAGAATATCTTTCTGCTAGGTGGGATCCTGGTTAGATTGAGAGGACTTAAATGTGTTTAAAGGTAGAGAAGAAGGCTTAAAAAGACAAGAGAAATAGAGGAGCTCATTGACGATGCAAGAGACTGAAGATGAAAAGATACAGAGAATGAGTAATAAGATTAGGTTTGGAAAGGGAGGGATCCGTGGAGACCATGGAAAGGAGAATGGGTATTGATGTCCATGACAGTTAGATGTGAGATACAGAGAATGAGTAATAAGATTAGGTTTGGAAAGGGAGGGATCCATGGAGACCATGGAAAGGAGAATGGACATTGATGTCCATGACAGTTAGATATGGAGTGGCAGGCCAGTGGCCAGGGGTGGCATCAGGCTCTGGGAAATGGTTACATTGCAGTGCCAGTTGTTCAGGGCCTCAGGTTGAAGCAGTAGTCCCAAGGAGAAAATCAGAGACGTGGATCTGAGACCAGGGCAGGTAAGACAAGTTTCTGACCTCTTTGAACCTTAGGTACCTTGTCTGTAAAAGAGGATTAGAGATACCCTCAAAGGGCTTCTATGAGGAGTAAAGGAAATAATCATTACCTGATTGCTATGTAACTGTCATCCCTTTTCTAGCAAAAATCACTCTTTCCTCTTCTGTGTTCCCAGTTAGATGGTGAGTGCCCCTAAGCAGAATCACATCTCGCTCATGTGGAACATTCAGGAACTGTTTGCTCAGTTGATTCTCATTTGTTACTACAGATGATATCTTTTACTGCGCCTTATAACTCAGACCCTTCACCTGCCAGCTTTTCCCCATATTTTCTACCGTAAAGACAAGACAGCATTTGCAGTTAAGAGCACAGTCTTCAGTGCCACACTGAGTTTGAATCCCAGCTCTTCCATAAACCAGCCATGTTTATGGCATAGCTGGCTTACTTTATCTCTCTACCTCGGTTTGTTCATCTGTGAAACAAGAATGAGTGATAGTAATAGTTCTTACCTCATAGAGGAGATATTAGGATTAAACAAGTTAATATGGGTAAAGCACTTATAAAGGTGCCTACACATGGTAAGCACTATTTTTAAGTGTGAGCTGTTAGTATTGTTGTGGTTATTGCTCTGATAGTTACCAGTAAAATATATGAAGGTACCTTTAATGCAGATGGCATCCCACTATTCTTGATGAGATAGGGGACTGCAGACAAATAATGTCTGATACTTGCTTTGTGCTTTAGAGTTAATGTAGTTTTGTCATAGTTATTACTGTGTGCTAGGCATCGTACTAAGAGTTTTCTAGAATAATCCTATGAATTAAGTTCTATTTTATGTTTTATAGGTGAAAGTATTTTACAATGATGAAACCATAATTTGTGGAATGTTTTTCAGTGTACAGGTCATGACACAATTCATGAAATCACTTTAGCAGGCCACCACTAGTTGTTTGTTTTGTTTTATTTTAATGGATGATCCAGTTCCATGTTTATTCTTTTAATGTTACATACAATTTTTTGAAATTTTAGTAACAACATAAAATGTTGGGTTGTGGCCATTGCTTAGGGAGAAAGGCAGGATAACTTGTACAAACTGTATGAGTGAATGGAAAAGGTGGAGACTGTAACACAGGCCTGACTGACTGAACAGCCCATGTTCTATTGTGTACTGTCTTTCATTTAACAGTTCTGTGACATGACCATGGATAATCATCTCCTTTTAACAGATGCTTGATTTCAGACTGTATATAGAGGTTAAATGATTTGTTTTAGATCTCAAGGCTGACAAATTAGGCCTATTTCTCACTTTTGCGGTCTTTCCACTCTGCTTGTAGGGAACTTAGTTTTCCATAAACTGACTTAGGTCCAAATTGTGCCACAGCTAAGAATCTAGTTATTGTACATTTAACACAGTTCACGTCATAGGAGGCTGAGACTATGTTTCTCTAGTGGCGTTTATTCAAGATGAGTAAAACACAAGAAACCATTATCGCACATGGGAATTTCATAGTCTTAAACCCCACATCCCACTTATCACCACCATTTACCAGTCCTCCTGTAACAGTTACAATTTTTTATTAAATCAGTATTTGATGTATATTATTGTAATTATGAAATATTCATTGCTGAGCTATAAGTATAAATGGATTGTTTTTCTTGTACAGTTTTTTTTCTGGATTTAATACTTACCTTATTTTTTGTTTATTTAGTTTTCTATTTAGTCAGGCCAGGCACACTGGCTAACACCTGTAATCCCAGCACTTTGGGAGGCCAAGGTGGACAGATCACTTGAGCTCAAGAGTTTGAGACCAGCCTGGGGAACATGGTGAAACCCCATCTCTACAAAAAATACAAAAATTAGCTGGGCATGGGTGCATGTGCTTGTAGTCCCAGCTACTCAGGAGCCTGAGGTGGGAGGATTGCTTAAGCCCAGGAGGTTGAGGCTGCAGTGAGCTGTGTTCATACCACTGCACTCCAGCCTGGGTGACAAAGCGAGACCATGTCTCAAAAAAGTTATTGCTACTCAATTCTTACCATGCTCTCCAGAGCCTCTCAAAACAGCTTTCTACAAAGTGAGATCTGTTAGATAATCTATTTCTTTTTTACCTCTAGAAATTCCTCCTGAGCCCTCCATTGTCTTATTCCAGTCTAGGCTTGTCGATCTCTAGGGCTACTACACAGATACATCAGCCTGAGATTTCCCTTCTCTGTCATTCTGGGAATTCCCCTTGCTGCTGCTTCCTGACTTCCATATTGTCTTCCTTTTTGTCTTCTCATCATTCGGTAGATTCCTGAGAAAAGGGGTCCATGGGAGGCAAATTGCATCCTTACATATCTAAAAATATCTTTAGGGCTGTGCATAGAATTTGAGGAATATTTTTCCCCCAGAATTTTTAAAGTAATGCCCTAACTGACACCTGTTTACCAGGTTTGGAGGATTTTACTGCTATCTTAATCCCTAATTGTTTGTATGCTTTCTAGGATCTTCTCTTTATCATCAGTATCCTGAAATTTCACAGAGATGTATCTTGATGTGGGTCTTTTTCGTTCATTATTATGGATACTTAATAGGCCCTTTAGAGCCTTGATCTTGCATTTCTGAAAATTTTCTCCCATTTCTTTGAAACCTTCTCCCCCTCTTCCTTTTTTTTTTTTCTCAAATTCTTAATATTTGGATATTGGATGTATCCTGAATTAATTCTTTAATCTTTAAAATTTTTCCTTTCTGTTGATCTTTGCTTTGAGTCTTTTTCTCCTTTTAAAAATAAACAAAGGCCAGCTAGGCACAGTGGCTTATATCTGTAATTCCAGCACTTTGGGAGGCTGAAGCAGGAGGATCGCTTAAGCCCGGGAGTTTGAGACCAGCCTAAGCATCGCAGCAAAACCTCATCTCTACAAATGATTTAGAAATTAGCAGGGCCTAATGGCTCATGCCTGTGGTCCCAGCTACTCAGGGCTGAGGCAGGAGGATTACTTGAGGCCTGGCAGTTGAGGCTGCTGCAGTGAGCTGTGATCGCACCACCGTACTCCAGTCTGGGCAACAGAGGGAGACCTCATCTCAAAAATAAATAGGCCTGGTGTGGTGGCTCACTCCTGTAATCCCAGCACTTTGGGAGGCCAAGGCAGGTGGATCACTTGAAGCCAGGAGCTCAAGACCAGCCTAGCCGACATGGCAAAACCCTCTGTCTACCTACTAAAAATAAAAAAATTAGTCAAACGTGTTGGCATATACTTGTAATCCCAGCTACTTGGGAGGCTGAGACATGAGAATTGCTTGAACCTGGGAGGTGGAGGTTGCAGTGAGTCAAGTCCCTGCACTATAGCCTGGGGAACAGAGTGAGACCCGAGACTCTATCTCAAAAAAAAAAAATCAGTGACAAGTAAAAAGGTAGAATACCTTTTTTTTTTTCTTTGAGACAGTCTCACCCTGTCGCCCAGTCTGGAGTGCAATGGCGCAGTCTCGGCATACTGCAAACTCTGCCTTCAGGGTTCAAACAATTCTCCTGCCTCAGCCTCCTGAGTAGCTGGGATTACACATGCCCACCACCACACCCAGCTGTTTTTTGTATTTTTAGTAGAGACAGGTTTCACCATGTTGGCCATGCTGGTCTCGAACTCCTGACCTCATGATCCACCTGCCCCGGCCTCCCAAAGTGCTGGTATTACAGGCGTGAGCCACTGCGCCCAGCCTAGAATACCTTTTAAAAATAAATAAATAGGCCGGGCGCGGCGGCTCATGCCTGTAATCCCAGCACTTTGGGAGGCTGAGGCGGGCAGATCACGAGGTCAGGAGATCAAGACCCTCCTGGCTAACATGGTGTAAATAAATAGGCCGGGCGCGGCGGCTCATGCCTGTAATCCCAGCACTTTGGGAGGCTGAGGCGGGCAGATCACGAGGTCAGGAGATCAAGACCCTCCTGGCTAACATGGTGAAACCCCATCTCTACTAAAAAATACAAAAAAAAATTAGCTGGGCGTGGTGGCAGGTGCCTGTAGTCCCAGCTACTCTGGAGGCTGAGGCAGGAGAATGGCGTGAACCCAGGAGGTGGAGCTTGCAGTGAGCCGAGATTGCGCCACTACACTCCAGCCTGGGCAACAGAGCAAGACTCTCTCTCTAAATAAATAATAAATAAATAAATAACTCCTTTTACAAAAGCATATATATTCATTTTTTCCATTTATAATATAAATAATAGATATGCTGAGTTGATTTCTGCATATTGCTTTTTCAGTTACCCTATCATACTTGCTCTTTGTTTTAGTAAAGAGCTGCTGTATTGAAGGATATACCTTAATCTCTTTATCCAGTTTCCCCATCAGTGGACACTAAGATTGTTTTCAGAGTACTCTTATAAACAATACAGTTTGTCATTTCAGACACATATGAGAATATTAGCAGGATGAATTATTTTAAGTCTGCATTTATAAATTTATGGATATTGCCACATTTACCTCTGCTAGGAAGTCTATTCCTATTAACAATATGTCAAAGTGCCTATTTTTCTAAACTCTCTTCAGTGTGGTGAATTGTTAAACTTGGGGATCTCTGCCAATCTGACAGGTGAAAAATAACATCTCAGTGTAAGTTTAATTTGCATTTTGCTGAGATTGAGCAATTTTGTGTAATTTAAAAGATCATTTATTTTTCTGAGCATTCTCTGTTGATATTCTTTACCCATTTTTATTAGAGTGTCAAGGTTTTCCTGACTCGTTTGTAGATGTTCTTTGTACGTTTGGGAAATGAGTCCTTTGCCTATGGTAAAACTGCAAATGTTGTTCCCTAGGTGGTCATCTAGATTTTCTGCATTGCAGAAGATATCATTAGCTATTTTTAATTTTTTTAATTTAAATATTTCTCAGTTTAGGTTTTCTAGGAATTGGGTCATATCTAGGAAGGCTTTCCTTACTCCAAGATTATAAAAATAATTTTCTTCTGGACTTCTATGGTTTCGTGTGTGTGTGTGTGTGTGTACACGCACTTAAGTCTGTCTCGAATTTATTCTGATGCAGAGTGAGCTATGGATCTGTTTTTCCCCAAATATCTAACTTGTCCCAATACCCCTTAATAATTTATTTTTCCTCATTGATTTGAAATGCCACCTATCTTATATATTGAATTCAGATATTTATTTACCTCTTCATATGTATTTGAGTATTTGGGAACATTCATTTTATTTTCTATTAATCTTTTTCTCTGTCCATGTGCAAAGCCTCACTGTCTCAATAATTGTAACTTTGTAAAGTATTTAATATCCAGTAAAATGAGTCATTCCTTGTTAATTTTATTTTTCAGAATTTTGTTAGCAATTCTTATTATAAACATTAGAATTAACTTGTCTAGCAGGAAAAAAAGTTTGTATTGATCATGTTAAATACGTAGATTAACAGAGAAAATGGCATCTTACAGATGTTGAGTCTAACTATCCAAGAATGCAATATATTCCATTTTCTGAAGTCTTTTTTTTTTAAATCTTCTGTTTTTGTAATTATAAATGGAGCATTTTCTTCCATCAGATCTTCTAACTGGCTGCTGTTGGGGATATGAAGGCTACTGATTTTTGTAGAGACATTTTGTACTGGCCACCTTAAACTCTCTTAGTATTGGAAGTAATTTTCTTCATTAATTTTTATGGCTTCAAGTCATCTCATCTGCATATATCTTCCAAATTTTTAGAACTTTCTTTTTCTTCTGTTTAATCGCATTGATGAATACCTCCAGAACAAAGTTAAGCAGCTGGTAAATGCAGACAGCATTCTCTTGTATCTGACACTAAGGAGGACACTTTCAGTGGTTTTTCATTATACGTGGTACTGACTCTTGAGTTGAGATAAACATATTTTATTGTGTTCAGGATTTAATGAGCGTTTATGTTAGGAATGGGTGTTAAATTTTGCCAGTTGCCTGTTCAGGATCAATGAGAAAGATCTGAATGATTTTTTTTCTCTTTTGGTCTGTTTCTATGGTGGATTCTATTCCTAGGTTTGTTTGTTTGTTTGTTTATTTTGAGATGGAGTCTGTTACCAGGCTGGAGTGCAGTGGCGCCATCTCAGCTCACTGCAACCTCCACCTCGCGGGTTCAAGTGATTCCCCTGCCTCAGCCTCCGAGTAGCTGGGACTACAGGCACGCACCACCATGCCCGGCTAATTTTTTGTATTTTAGTAGAGACGTGGTTTCACCATGTTGGCCAACCTGGTCTCGAACTCCTGACCCCATGATCCTGCCTCAGCCTCCCAAAGTGCTGGGATTATAGGTGTGAGCCACTGCGCCCTGCCAGTTTTTATTTATTCATTTTTTAGAGACAGGGTCTTGCTCTGAATTAATTCTTTAATCTTCTTAATTTTTCTTTTCTGTTGACCTTTGCTTTGCTTTAAGTCTTTTCCTTTGAGTCATCCAGGCTGAAGTACAGTGGCACGATCATGGCTCACTGTAACCTTGAACTCCCAGACTTAAGCAAACCCCACCTCAGACTTCTGAGTAGCTAAGGACTATAGGCGCATGTCACCACGCCCAGCTAATTTTTAAATTTTCTCAGAAACAGGGACTCACTGTGTTGCCCAGACTGGTCATGAACTCCTGGCCTCAAGCAGTCCTCAGCCTTAGCCTTCCAAAGCACTGGGATTATAGGCATGAGCCAAGGCCGCCCAAACATATTGTATCGTTCCTGTAACAAGCTGTTGCAGTCTATTTGATATTATTTCTTATTTTTTTCATTTAGAATTTTCTCTGTCTAGATATTCTCAAATTATCTCTAAATGAGATTGATCTATGTTTTTCCTTTGTGTGTGTATTCTTTTTGATAAGTTTTAGTTTTTAGTGTTTTGTTTTGCTACATGGAAAGGATTTGAAAGTTTACACTAAAAAATATGCTTTTTTTTTTTAAGACAGGCTTTTTCACTGTTGCCTAGTGCTGGAGTGCAGTGGCATGATCTCGGCTCATTGCGGCCTGCACCTCCTGGGCTCAGGTGATCCTCTCACCTCAGCCTCCCAAGTAGCTGGGATTACAGGTGTGTTCCACCATGCCCAGCTAATTTTTTGTATTTTTTTGTAGAGATGGGGTTTCGCCATGTTGCCCAGGCTGGTCTTGAACTCCTGGGCTCACATGATTCTCCTGTCTTAGCCTCCCAAAGTGCTAGGATTACAGGTGTGAGCCACCACATCTGGCCATTTCATTCATGTTTTCAAATGTATTTGAATGAGGAAAAGTTCTCCCTTGTGATTATTTATTATAATAGCCTACAGAGCTATTAATTTTTAAATTTTGTTTACTTTATGTCTCCTTTTTTTTTTTGTTTAGGCTGAATAACCATTTATTTCATAGGTTTATTGCCTTTTTTCTTCCAAAGAACTTGCTATTGTGCATTTATAGTCCTTTTATGTTTACGTTTTCTATTTCATTGATTTTTACTTTCTACCTTCTTTAGATTTATTTTGTTCTTTTTCTATCTTCTTGAATTGAGTGTGCTTTAATTGCATTCTTTCCAGTTAATTAACATATTTAGTGCTGTGAATTTTGAACAAGCACAGCTTTAGCCACATCCCATAGGTGTTTCTATAGGCAGTTGTATTAGGATGCGCTATAAGCTGCTCTGACAAAGATACCAAAATTCAGTGACTTAAATAAGACCAAAGTGTCTTTCTCTCCCCAGTTACATTCCAGAGGTAGACAGGGCCTTCGTCTCAGTAGGGACCAAATTCCTTTCCTCTTGTGGCCCTGCCATCCTAACAATATTGCCCTTATCTGTTTGGTTAGAGATAGTTCTCACCATTGGGTTCTAGTTCCAACCACTGCGAAGGACAAACAAAGGGAATAGGGGCCATTTCTCTTCCAAAAGATGTGACCTGGAAGTTACTCACATTGCTTTAGCTCACATCCCGTTGGCTAGAATTCATCACATGACCACACCTAGCACAAAGGAGTCTCAAATATAGTCTGCCAGGAGAGCTTGGTGCTCAGCTAAAAAACAAAGGTTCTGTATCAAGGCAAGAAGAGAAAGAGACTGATCTGAGGGGAGGAGAGTTGGCAGGTTCTGTCACAAAACTTCTCGTCATTGTTATTTTTAAGGTATTTTTCCATTTTGGGTTTTTTGTTTGTCTGATTTTTTTTTTTTTTTTTGAGATGGAGTCTCGCTCTGTTGCCCAGGCTGGAGTGCAGTGGCGTGATCTCTGCTCACCGCAAGCTCTGCCTCCTGGTTCACGCCATTCTCCTGCCTCAGCCTCCCAAGTAGCTGGGACTACAGGCGTACACCACCACGCCTGGCTAATTTTTTTTTTGTATTTTTATTAGAGACAGGGTTTCACTGTGTTACCCAGGATGGTCTCATTCTCCTGACTTTGTGATCTGCCCACTTCGGCCTCCCAAAGTGTTAGGATTACAGGCGTGAGCCACCGCGCCCGGCCGTCTGTTTGATTTTTGAGATGGAATCTCACTCTGCCCCCCTTCTGGAGTACAGTGGTGTGATCTTGGGTCACTGCAACCTCTACCCTCCCAGGTTTAAGCAATTCTTGTGCCTCAGCCTCCCAAAGTGCTGGGATTAAAGACGTGAGCCACTGTGCCCAGCCCATTTTGGTTTTGATTTTTTTTTTTCTTTGAAATAGAGTCTCGCTCTGTTACCTAGGCTGGAGTACAGTGGCATGATCTCGGCTCACTGCAACCTCCCCCTCCTGGGTTCAAGTGATTCTCGTGCCTCAGCCTCCCAAGTAGCTGGGATTATAGGCACCCACCACCACGCCCAGCTAATTTGTTTTGTATTTTTAGTAGAGACGGGGTTTTACCATGTTGGCCAGGCTGGTCTCGAACTCCTGACCTCAGGTGATCCACTGCACCCGGCCTCATTTTGGTTTTGATTTTTATTTTCAAATGTTTTCTTACTTTGTCAATTTCTAATTTTATTGCATTGGGACAAAAGAATATTGTACTCTTTCTACTGTTGGGGTTTATAAGGGCTGTGGATATTTCACTCGCCTTTGAAAAGAAGGTTTTCTCTGTTAGTCTGTAGAGTTTGGTATGTACCAATTAGATTTTATTACTTATCATTTTGGTCTTTTGTATCCTTACTTAATTTTGTCCTCTTGAATTTTAATGGAGCAAAAGACATAAAGTCCTCTAATAACATGCGTTCTGTTTGCATTCTCATACTTTTTATGAATATTGATGCTGCACTATTTGTGTACCCAGGGAGAAGGCCAGACCACTGTCCAAAGTTTAGTGAATCTGGGCAGCCTTGTTTCCCAGTTGTTGGAGGATGCCTCATGGAGGAAAGCATTCCTAATCCTGGAGCTTGTTTTGTTGTACTCTAATTGAATTGTAATGTGTTTCTTTAACCTGAATGAATGTTTCTATTTTTTACTTATTACACAGGTAATTCTGACTCGAAGGACAGAAGAGGTGAGCTGCTCACCTTATATCTGTTGTTCCTTTTACACAGTGTACAGTATTCATTTATTTCCTCTGCTCACAGTCTGTGGTAACCGTGTGCATCTGTGGCTGTGTTGTTTGTTTACTTTCCCTTAAGTTATTTCCATGTTAATCTCATGGAGAAGAGCAATAGAAACAAGTACTGTATTCAGTATGTTTTTTAATATAGACTATGGATTCTAACAGCTATGATGTATTTTAACAAGTAACAAAATATATCTTACTTTGACATGTCACTTTGTTAACATTACTTTTTGGTGATATTAGGTCATAATTTCTATACCATTAGTTACTTCTGATTTCTAGGCCACAGTTCCCTTTAAATATTCTTTGTGTTGTTTTTCCCCTAGTGTATAAAATGTCAACCCTTTGTGGCTTTATATGGATTTTATGGATTTTCAGCCCTTAAATGTAAAGTCTCTATGGCCTGAGATGTTGTGTCTGTGGTTTAAGCTGGACTGCTGAGTCCCTGGTCACTAGAGAGTAGGGGGACATGGGTACTTGTCTGCAGAAGTGTGGCACATTTTGCCTAGAATGACAGTAAGGCTGCTATCAAAGAGCATGAGAGAAAGAGAAAGAGATCATCTAACATTCTAAGAAGTGATTATTACATTTGAGTTTTAAAAATGTTACTATTCGAAGCAGTGTTTTTATCATAATTTTCTATTTTATCAAATCAGACTTGAGTTTTTTTTCTGATTCTGTTATTTAACCATACACAATTTTCCCTGTGTAATTAAGTAATGGAACACTTGGAGGCATATGAAGTCCCACTAAGTAGGGAGCATTTGAGTCAGAAAAGTGGGTACTCTCTTCCTTTATGTGATGTCCATCTGCCATTGTATTTGGTAAGGAATAGTGAGGTGTTACCATACTGTGTACAGATTTCCCTCACTTTTCCACCTCTCACTTTCCTAAACTTGGGAACTAAACATTGGATTAATACAGTGTCTTTGCTGTTCAGATTCACTTGCCAGATTTTATCAAATGTAGACTTAAATAGGTTTTATTGTGATAGATATTTACTTGCTCCCTAAAACTGCTCTCTTAACCAGCCTTACAATAAAGTCAAAAGTCAAAGTGGTAGGCTTCAAGATGAAACATAAGATCTGTTGACTCCTTCCTCTATTTAGTATATATTTTCATAATATTCAGCCTTTTCTTGCCCCAGATATCATATCTATTTTACCTACCCAATATTTAAGTAGTTTCCATGTTGTGATTAAGAAAACAAAATTACCATAATTACCTAGATTATTGCTAATTGTGACATATGTAAAGTCTATTAATGTAATAAATCTCCTTTCTTAAGTCAAAAAATAATTTTGTGTAATTCCAAACAGGAAACTGAAAAGGCATAGGTATTCTCAGCAGTCTCTAAAGTCCCAAAATCTAATGGCAATTTTACCAGAGCAGATCTTTAGAAGTATTGCTATAAATTTGGATATCCCATTCTAATTTTAAGCCAAATGCTTTTTGAGAAATAAGCCAGCTGTTTGGAAATGCTTGTATTATAATCGGTTTGATAAGCAGTTATGTCTTATGCAGATGAATTAGGGGCTACCTGTTTTTATGCACTGGTCTTTGGGGTGCTTTTGAACAGTAGTGTCTGATGTTTTAATTGTCAAAGCAAAAAGAAATGAGAGGGAGGGCAACTTTTCTTCCTCTTCTGAAGTCCAGGAAACTGGTTATTTTCTCATGCATATTATTTTAAAATATATTCCAGCCAGGTGCAGTGGCTCACGCCTGTAATCCCAGCACTTTGGGAGGCCAAGGCGGGTGGATCACAAGGTCAGGAGTTCAAGACCAGCCTGACCAATATGATAAAACCCCATCTCTACTAAAAATACAAAAATTAGCCGGGCGTGGTGGTGTGCGCCTGTAATCCCAGCTACTCGGGAGGCTGAGTCAGGAGAATTGCTTGAACCTGGGAGGCAGAGGTTGCAGTGAGCCAAGATCGCGCTCTTGGCTGCGATCCAGACTGCACTCCAGCCTGGGTGACAGAGCAAGACTCTGTCTCAAAAAAAAAAAAAAAAATCAGACTCTTAATATTTGTAAAGAAGTAGTCCTTGAGCTACTACTTAAGTCTAGAAAGAGTTGATATTCTTGTTTTAAGAGTGTTAGGGCACTTTGGGAGGCTGAGGCAGGTGGATCACTTGAGCCCAGGAGTTCCAGACCAGCCTGAGCAATATGGGGAAACCTTGTCTCTACTAAAAATACAAAAATTAACCAGGCATGTGGTACGTACCTGTAGTCCCAGCCACTTGGGACGCTGAGGTGGGAGGATCACCTGAGCCCAGGAAATGGAGGTTGCAGTGAGCCAAGATTGCGTGACTGTACTCTAGCCTGGGCAACAGAGCAAGACTCTGTCTCAAAAAAAAAAAGGGCGGGGATTATCATAGTGCCATTATTATTATGAGTTTATGATGGCTTTCTCTAAGCACCTTTTACATTCGGCATTTATTCAGTACCTATTAAGCATCAAGGAGTCCAGAAAAAATTTTATATATAAATATATATAAAATATGTAAATATATATATGCATATGCTTCCCTATCTCAGGAAGGAAATATGTGAACATCAGGAACCGAAGTCTACTCAGTTACATGCCATTGGATATATCACACAAAGTGCTGAGGGAACTCAGAAGGCTCATTATATCTGGGGAGTGGGAAGGAGGCACAGAGATGTGCTTTGGGAAGTTTAAATTAAAATAGCAAATGGGGAAAATGAAGACACACCAGACAGGGCACAAGCAAAGAGACATGAAAGAGTAAGTCATGTGTTTGAGGATCTGTGCGCAGTTGACATGTGTGAGGTGTGGGGAGTGATCAGAGGTGGCCTCAACAGAATGGGTGTGGTGGTCCACTGAGTTCAGGAGTTGGAGCATCTCCTGAAGATGATGGTGAGTAAGGAAGTAACATAGTCAGATTTTGGTTTTAGAAAGATATTCCAGAGGACTTAGGGGAGATAGATGGACAATAGAAATTTAGGTTTCTGAATAATTTGGCTCAAAACAACGGTGATTGGGCTCAACCCAGTGGTTAGATTCTAGAGGCAATCCAATGAATATTGCTGTTTTTAGAGCCAATAGGAAACATTTAAAACAACATTACAACCTTGCCTTTGAGAGCTGATAAATACTTGTACCAAAAAGTGTGGCAATAGGTAAATGGGCCATAGGAACTGGGGCTATAGGACTATGGCTATTCCTTTACTGACTAGTTTGTAGTTGACCAGTGTGTGTCTGAAGTCCTTAAGTCACTCACCTGTTTAGAGGTGAGCCCTTCAATTAATATGGCCCTTTGTTTTCAAGGAAAGAAGTTATAGCAAGTAGGTATCTGTTGTCCCGGGACACCATTTTAGTGGTTTTCATTTTCATGCTTGCTCCCTGGCCTGAATCTAGAAAGTAAAACTTTGCTGGAATGAAGTTGGGGTTGAAACAGTTTCGGTTTGTAACCATACTGTCTCTGTCTCATCTACTCAGCTCTGCCTTTGTAATGTAAAAGCAGCCATAGATGGTATGTAAATGAATGAACATGGCCATGTTCTGATAGCATTTTATTTACAAAAACAGGCAGTGGGCTAAATTTGGGCTATAGTTTGCCGACCCCTCTTCTAGGCAAAGAACTGCCTGAGCGTAGGAAGCTGGACTGAGGTTCTCTGCTAGTGTGTGAACTTGTGGATGCCAAAGCCAATCTCTTCCCTTCATGTCAGACACTTTGCAAATGTTACCTCTTTTAGATCTCCCATTAACTCTAAAAGGTGGAGGGTGCTATTATGCTTCCATTTCATACATTGTTCTAAGAGATTATCACACTACTAGTAAGTTAGGATAGTAGGAATTTGAACTTCAGGTCTGTCAGACCCTAAAACCCCATGCCCTGGAAATGGTTTTCTAAGGCTGGCCTGTGGTTCGTTGGTTGATTTCAATTAGAATTTAAGAATTTTTTCAGAATACATCTAGGTGTAAAGATTTTTTTGTCAATATTACTCCACAAACTAGATTATTTCTTTTGGCCTGATAACTCAGGAACTTTCTTGTATTACTTCTCTCCCTTCTTACTGGTTTCTTCTTTGGACTCTCCTGTTGCACAGGTATTGGATCTCCTGGACCTATCCAGTTCCTTTCTTTTCTATGCTGTCATATTTTTCATCTCTTATTGCTCTGTGTTCTGGGAGCTTCCAGGACAGTTGCTCTTTCACACAACTAATTTGGTTTTCAGTTATATCAGTTCTCCTATTTAGCCTTTCTTTTTTTGGAGGCAGGGCTGGGGCAGACTCATGCTCTGTCGCCCAGGCTGGAGTGCAGTGGCCTGATCACAGCTCACTGCAGCCTTGACCTCTGGGACTCAAGCGATCCTCCAGCCTCAGCCTCCCGGGTAGCTGGGACTATAGGCATATGCCACCATGCCCAGCTAATCAGGTGTTTGTTTGTTTGTTTGGTAGAGACAGACTACCAGAGTCTCGCTAAGTTGCCCAGGCTGGTCTCAAACTCCTGGCCTCAAGCAGTCCTCCCACCCTGGCCTCCCAAAGTGTTGGGCTTACAGGCATGAGCCACCGTGCCCGGCCCTGTTAAGCCTTTCTATCTAGATTTTTTCCCTCCTAATCATGTTGGTGTTTTTTTGTTTGTTTTCATTTTTGTTTTGTTTTGTTTTGAGACGGAGTTTTGCTCTTGTTGCCCAAGCTGGTGTGCAATGGCACGATCTCGGTTCACCGCAACCTCTGCCTTCCAGGTTCAAACGATTCTCCTGCCTCAGCCCCCAGAGTAGCTGGGATTACAGGCATGTGCCACCACACCTGGCTAATTTTGTATTTTTAGTAGAGATGGGGTTTCTCTATGTTGGTCAGGCTGCTCTTAAACTACCAACCTCAGGTGATCTGCCTGCCTCGGCCTCCCAAAGTGTTGGGATTACAGGCGTGAGCCACCATGCCCGGCCAGTTTTTAAAGAACTCCTTCTTACTACTCAGATTACTCCTTTTTAAATAGTGGCTTTTAAAAAATATCAATGTAGGCTGGGCACAGTGGCTCACACCTATAATCCCAGCACTTTGGGAGGCTGAGGCAGGCTGATCACCTGAGGTCAGGAGTTCAAGACCAGGCTGGCCAACATAGTGAAACCCTGTCTCTACTAAAAATACAAAACTTAGCCAGGCCTGCAGTTCCAGCTACTAGGGAGGCTAAGGTGTGAGGATCGCTCGAACCAGGAGGCCGTTGCAGTGAACCAAGATCACGCCAGTGCACTTCAGCCTGGGTGACGGAGTGAGACTCCGTCTCGAGAAAAGAAAAAAAAACGCAATGCAGCAGTGGCTCACGCACATAATCATAGCATTTTGGGAGGCCAAGGCAAGAAGATCACTTGAGACCAAGAGTTCAAGACCAGCCTGGGCAACAACAAGACCCCCTCCCCCCATCTCTACAAAAAATTTAAGAAAAAAAATTTTTTTAAATCAATATGGCATCCTGTTGCACAAATTGCAGTATATTTTGAAAGATTTATTCTGTTTCTTTTGTCACCTCCATTTCCCAGGGCTACTGTTGCTCTGTTTGAGCTATGCCCTGGACCATTGAGTGGCTTAGACTGTGCTCACAATAGGTGTCCCTTCATCCCTTCAGAAGACAAACATGGACATACGTCCTAAACCAGGAAGGGGTTCAGTGATGGCTCAGGAAAATCGGGGCAGGGTGCAGTTATCCTCTAGGCGAGCTGCCGTTTTCTTTTTCCTTTCCTCTCTTGTGGTTGCCTAGAATTAGCTTGGGCACTACTATGGTTTTTTTCTGTCTGCAGGCCCCAGGAGACCTTCTGTGGACCCAATATACTTAACAATCATATGCAGTGTAGACCTGCTCTGGTGTCAATTCTAACCAAAACAAAAAAAAAGCATTTATGAGACACTCAGGGAAATTCAAGCAGTAACTGAATAATATTAGATGATACTAAGGAATTAGTGTTACTTTTTAAATTGGATAATAGTATTATGTTTATGTTAAGAATCTTGATCTCTTGGTGATACATACCTAAGTAATTGCATTTGAAATGCTAGGTCTCGGATTTGCCTTAAAAGAATTCAGTTAGAATGGCGTGAGTATAGACCAGTGGTTCCTTACTGGGGGCTATTTCCCCCACAAAGGCATTTAGCAATGCTTGGAGATACTTTTGGTCATCAAAATTGGGAATTTGCTACAGACATCTAATAATTAGAGGCTAGGGATATTGTTAAATGTCCTACAGTGCACATGACAGACCCACATAACAGAGAATTGTATAGCCCAAAATGTCATTAGTGTGACGTTGAGAAAATATATATGCAGCATATGTTTTGTAAAAAAGAAGCCCTTACCAGTCTCTGTGACAAACTCTCTACTCTGTGTAGAGCACTGTTTTTCCAGCTGAGTCTAGATGGGAAGCCCCGCTTGTCATTTGGGCTGTGGGTGTACTGGTGCTGGGTTGGCAGGCCTTTGCTTAAGTACCATCCTGGTACCTCAAGGTCCACTTTCAACCCCAGTCCCAATTCCCTCTGAGCTTGAGGTGTTTCCAGGCCCAAACTGGTAGAACTAGTACTTAGTTTTCAGCTGGAGGCTCTTTGGCTCTGTTTGATCTCTTGGACATCGAGTCTGGTCTGTTTTGTCTTCCAGAAATCTCTCAAAGATTCTGATCTACATATGCCACCGTTTGCTGCCTTTCAGATATGCTGTTGATTCATTAGTATTTTTATATTTCTTCTACCATGTCAGTGTGCTTTGGGGGAAGATGAAGTAAATTCATGGATTTAGCCCAGTGTCTTAAGCCAAAGGTGCCTAATTACTTTCTTCTTCTTCTTTTTTTTTTTTTTTTTGAGGCAGAGTCTCGCTCCGTCACCCAGGCTGGAGTGCAGTGGCACGATCTTGGCTCACTGAAACCTCCGCCTCCTGGGTACAAGCGATTCTCCTGCCTCAGCCTCCTGAGTAGCTGGGACCAGAGGGGTGTGCCACCACACCCGCTAATTTTGTATTTTTAGCAGAGACGGGGTTTCACCATATTGGCCAGGCTGGTCTTGAACTCCTGACCTTGTGATCCACCCGCCTCGGCCTCCCAAAGTGCTGGGATGTGCCTAATTACTTTCTTATAATACCTGATATACTGCCCCCTGTTGTTGGAATTTAACAAAGACATTTAGTGATAAATTACTATTTTTTTTTGTTCTTTGGCTCAACGTAATCCATTGTTTGTTTTGTGCCTGTTATGTGTGAGACCCTGTGCTAGGTTTTAGGTGTACAGTGAGAATGAAGCAGACATGTAATCCTTGCTCTTGTGGAATTTATGCTATAAAGGAGGGATATTCATTAATCAACAAAGTCAAATATGTAATTATAAAGTGTGAGAGGTATTATCAAGGAAAATAATAAGGTCCTTGCCTTACAAAAATAGTATAGGAAATAACAGCAATTTTTTTTTTTTTTTTGAGACAGAGTCTCGCTCTATTGCCCAGGCTGAAGTGCAGTGGCGCAATCTCGGCTCACTACAACCTCTGCCCCCCAGGTTCAAGCGATTCTCCTGCCTCAGCCTCCTAAGTAGCTGAGATTACAGGCATGTGCCACCACACCTGGCTAATTTTTTTTGTATTTTTAGTAGAGATGGGGTTTCACCATGTTGGCCAAGCTGGTCTCGAATTCTTGACCTCATGATCTGCCCACCTCGGCTTCCCAAAGTGCTGGGATTGCAGGCGTGAGCCACTGTGCCTGGCCGTAACAGCTAAAATGAAGTACACACTGTGTGCTAGTTACTGTGCCAACAACTTTACATGAAAGATCTCATTTAATACGCAGAATAACTTATTTCAGAAATGAGGAAACTGAGACTTATGATCCTAATTTAGTATTAGGAAGTCAGAGAAGACCTGTGTGGGAAAAGTGACACACAGAGAACCAGACAAGTAGGAGATAACCAGGCAAAGAACAGAGAGAGGCTGTGTAAAGCAGAAGGAATAACATGCTCAAAGGCCTGAGGATGAATGAATGAAAGCATGGAAGGACACCAGTGGCTGAAATTGAGTGAGCAAGGAAAGAGTGCAAGAGATAGGGCAGGTAGGGGCTAAATCGAGGGGGTTGTTAGAGTCCAGGATAAGGAGATTAGATTTCATTCTGAGGCATGAGAAACTGTTGGAGGGTTTTACCTAAGAGTGGGACACAACCTGAGTTGCTTTCCTAGAGATCACTCTGCTTTGTGGAGAATGGATTGGCAGGGGCAGAGGCTTACTGTGATCCAGGTGAGAGAGGATGGAGGTTGGGACTACACTGGTGGCAATAAAAAAAATGCAAAAAAAAAAAAAAAAAAAGGCAGACAGATTTGAAGTTTTAGATATATCTCCAAAATATATTATTTGCAGCTGTGCTAGATATAGAAGATAAGTGTGAGGAAGAAATCAAGGGGGTTTCCACATTTCTTACTTGAGCAACAGGGTGGGTTGGAGTACTAGCTACTGAATGGTGAGGGAAAGGTTTTAAACACAGAAAGCTTGTGTTGCCTATGAAATTTAAAGTGGAGGTGGCAAATAGGCAGTTGAGAATCTGGAACTCAGAAAAGAGGTCTGATCAAGCAAAGCAACTGTGGGAATTGCTAGCATGGCATTTATATTTACAGTCATCTCTCTGATCAGATTAACTAGATATAGAGAAGAGTGCCAAGGACAGAGCCCTGAGGAATTCCCACATTTAGAGATCTGGTGTTGGAAGAGGAACAGATAGTGAGGGAAACTGAGATGGGCAGACGAGATAGAAGGAAAATCAGAGGAGTGTTTCGTTGTGGAAAGCTAAGAGAGGAAAGTGCTTCAGAGAGGAAGGAGTGATCAGCCAGTCTGAACACTCATTTTAAGGTGAGAGCCACATACCACAGTATGTTTGAAACTTACCATTAACAAAGAAGCGTCATGTAATGTCTTCCATCTCTAAAAACAAAACCAAAAAAAACCCATCTGTCCACCTCACTCACATCTCCCTCCATCTGTCATTCCTTTCCTCTGCATCCCTTAATGTTAAAAGTCCCCACGAAAGGACCCAGTGTCTCACTGTCCTTTTTCTATCTTTATTTCACTCCATTTAGGCTTTCTCACCCATATTCAACTGAAAATACTCTTGGAAAGGTCACCAGTAGCCACCGTCTTGTCAAATCTGGTTTCACTTCTCTGTCTCATCCTTCTTAAGTCTGTAGGCAGTATTTGATTGAATTGATTGCTCCCTCCTTGAAAAACTCTGCTCTTGGCTTCTATGACACTACATTCTTAGATTAACCTCTCACCTCATGGCTACTGCTTATGGGTCAGTTTAGCTTTTAACAGAATGTAAATCCAGTTATATATCTCCTCTGTTCAAAGCCCTTCGATGACATAGTGTTTCTCATCACACTCAGAATTAAATCCACAATCATTACAATGGACTCCCAAGTCCTAAGTCTGCTGGCTTTTGCCCACCTCTCTGGCATCTTATATTGAACTGGCCTTTGTGCTGTTTCTTGAACCTGCCAAGCTCCTGAGAGCTACCATGCTTGCTGTTCCCAGTGTCTAGAAAGCTCTTCACCCAGATCTTTGCGTGGTTCACTTCACGTTATTTAGAGCTCTGCTTGTATATTACTTCCTCAGAGAGACCTTCCCAGACCACTGTATCACTGCTCCCCAACCTGTCACTTTCTCTCTCCCCACCCTGCTTTTTATTCCTCATAGCACTTGTCCCTGTCTAAAATTAAGTATTGACTTGTTTATAAACAGTGTCTTCCTTCCTCCCCACAGAATGGAAGCTTTCTATCACTTGTCTCCTTGAACACTTCTCTGTTCCTAGTGTCTCAAACAATGGCATGCAATTGCTGGCCCACAGATATTTGAATGAATGCTGCTAAAAGGTTGAATCAGATGAGGATGGGAATGTTCCTGTTGGATTTGGCAATATGCCATTTGTTGGTGTTCTGGCTGAGCAGTTTAAACAGAGCACTGAGGGTGGGAGTCAGGGCAAATAGATTAAGGAGAACCTGAAGGTAAGGAATTAGACAAGACGAATTAGACAACTGTGTTTCGGAAAGTCAGCTGAGAAGAGAGACGCGAGGCTGGTGGTAGCTGGGGGAGGGTAAATGAGGTCAAGAAGACAAGTCTTTGAGTTGACAGCAGTGGATGTAATCCAGAGCACACATGACAGGATGGAAGAGACTTGTCTTCCCTTTTAGCAGGTAGGAAAATGGTGAAGATAGTTACCAAGCCACTCTGATGGTGTAGTTCATGGAGTCGGGTGGAGGGTGAGAGTGGAGGCGGATGAGTCAGTGCCTGGCCAGCTGCATGAGAAAACAAGGCTAGGTATTGGGTGAAAGGGAGCCAGGCCCTGTGGAATGAGGTGGGATTGCCATGTCTTCAAACCAGATGTTGCCATGGTTGGGGTCCTGGCAAAAGGTGACTAAGGGAGCAGGGTGTGGAAAGAGGAAAAAAGAAGCAACCAGCAGTTTTGTTACATGGTGGCTGAGGATCTAATAATGTCTCCTTGTTTTATTTTATTTTTATTTAGCTGGTCTCAAATTCCTGGCCTCAAGCAATCCTTCTACCTCAGCCTCCCAAAGTGCTGGGATAGGCATGAGCCGCCACACCCAGCTGTCTCCTTGTTTGTTTGTTTGTTTGTTTGTTTGTTTGTTTGTTTGTTTTGAGACAGGGTCTTGCTCTGTTGCCCAGGGTGGAGTGTAGTGTACAGGCCCGGCTCACTGTAATCTCCATCTCCTAAGCTCCAGTGATCCTCCTACCTCAGCCTCCTGAGTAGCTGGGACTATAGGCGCACATCACCACACCGGCTATTTTTTTAATTTTTAGTAGAGATGGAGTTTTACCCTGTTGCCAGGCTGGTCTCGAATACCTTGGCTCAAGCAATCCACCCGCTTTGTCCTCCTAAAATGCTAGGATTACAGGCATGAGCCATTGTGCCCTACTTGTCTCCTTGTTTTAATTAGGAACAGTATTCTCTGTGCCCGGAAACCATTTGGGTTTATGATAGGAAAACTGTCTTTTTCCCTTCCTCTCCCATCTTCCTCTAGATGGAACCCATTGAGGCTGAGAGAGTGTACAGTGTTGGCCCTGCATACCTAACTTGCCATCAGAATTGAATGTGTTCATGCCTCCAGATATTCCAGTGCTTTTTATGTGCTAAGTACTGTTTTAGGCTCAAAGGATATAGCAGTGAGTAAAACAAAGTGTCTGCCTTTAAACAGCTTTTATTCTAATGCAGGGAGACAGAGTAAATAAATGTATGATAGTCAGAGATGGGGTGAGCATGTCATCCTGGGCCCCATGCTCTCTCCCCACCTCACCTCAATAGCCCTGGCATGGCAGTGGGAGGTGCACACTCATACTTTCTTCTCTGTTTCCATTTCCTGGCATCTGCAGAAGGACTGAATGAGCTCTTCCTCTTCAGGGTGTTGCCCTGAATGGCTGACTTAAGCCCTCCATTGCACAACACAGTAATGACTTGTTCTGTTGTCTTGATTTCAGATGAGACACCAATTATTGCGGTGATGGTGGCCCTGTCCTCTCTGCTAGTGATCGTGTTTATTATCATAGTTTTGTACATGTTAAGGTGAGCCTACTAACACTTCACATTCTCTTAGATTCTGTTTCAATATCCCAGTGTCCCAATGAACCCACACAGTCCAGTAGACAGTAGGATATACACAATGAATAGGATAGAGGGGGAATGACCCATGATAGTGCTAAAATTGAAGTTCTACTTAGAAATTATTTAAAAGCTCTACATAGTCTTCCTTAAGTCCTAAGCCCTCCCTCTTTCTTCCATCTGTCCAAGCCCAGTCTCCCAACTCCAGTGCAAGCTAAAGCCCAGAATGGTAGTTTGGAGGTTGAGGTAAGAAACCGCAGTTTGTTATTAGTGACAGGTGTTACAGGATCTCTAGGTCTAGCCCTGCTGAAGCAACCCCTAAAAGGGCCCCAGTAAGATTACATGCTCAACAAAAGCCTACTGTATTTCTGGCTGGGGCTTTGTCCCCAGACCCTTCTGGGACCCCTGGCCCTGGCATGTTGAGTTGAGCCATGTGAGTTGTGAGTTACAGGATCCCTCTTTCTAACCTTCTTTCAGGGTCCTCTAGACGTTACCACTCAAGCAGAAGCAAGGAAGGGGAACCCAAGGGAGAGAAGAGGGTGGTGCATTTATTCTCTTCCTGCTAAAGCTACTGCCCTGACTAATTGGATTTAGCCCTGCCTTATCTTTGGCCTAACCAAAGATGTTCTGTGCTCCCTCTGTTCTTCTGCAGGGATAAAGAGAGAGGAATCATGTGCCCCCTATAATTTGTCATGTGTCTCTATCATTCTGCAGGAGACTTGTGGCCAGGACTGTGTCCACCCAATCCAAAGCTCTGGGCTTCTCCCTGGGTCTCCCAGGCTACACTGAGGAAATACCAAGATTTTTGTTTGATATATATTGTCTGTCTCCCCCAGCTGTATTCCACCCACTCACCCTCTCTCTACCTGGTGTGGCTGTGCTCTGCAGTGAGCCACATGAGCCTGAATATACTGTTGGGGTTCCCTGGTTGGATTCCAGTGTGCCAAGGGTAAACAGGAGTATCCCGAGGTACTCGGTCACCCCAGCATGCTGCTGCCTCAGGGTGTGCATGACCTGTCTCTAAAAAAGCCCGATTATTTTTAAAGGCGATTTAGAAAGGCTGAATTGATGAGCAGGAATACAGAGGTGTGATTTGCCTCTCCCACCTCTGTGCTCCATTCTTCACTGTGATCATTTTCTCATTAGGTTTAAGAAATACAAGCAAGCTGGGAGCCATTCCAATTCTTTCCGCTTATCCAACGGCCGCACTGAGGATGTGGGTAAGGCATTCCTTAATGTCATGGGGAACCTTCACAAGGAAGGAAATCAAGAAATTAGGAGTTTCTCCATCCTTTTAAAAGAATAAGACAATAAAAAGAGGAAAAAAGATTTTTGAAGAAAACAGTCCTAGTTCTTACAGGCTTGGTCCATGAGGTAGAACCCCGTTTAGCCTCCAGAAGAGGGGCTAGGTTCTCAGGGTACCTGACTGACCTTCTCCCTTGTGTACTGCAGAGCCCCAGAGTGTGCCACTTCTGGCCAGATCCCCAAGCACCAACAGGAAATACCCACCCCTGCCCGTGGACAAGCTGGAAGAGGAAATTAACCGGAGAATGGCAGACGACAATAAGCTCTTCAGGGAGGAATTCAACGTGAGTACTTTGTTGAGGCTGGTGTATCAGCAGGGAAGAAGGCAGACCTAAAGTCAGACCTTTCAGATCTTTGGAGTCATGAAGTAAAAAATGGGCTTTTAATGTTTAAGAGGTGAGAAATGTTTTACCAAGTTTATCTGACTCCCTGTATGATCATGGATAGGAAATGAAGTGAGATTTGCCTCACCTCCCTAATCTACCCATCCATTCAGTCATCATCACATCTCTTACTTCTTTTGTTTAATAAATACTTAGCAAGCATCTAATATTTGTCAGGTAATATTCTAGTTGCCAGTGATATGATGAGGAGCAGAAACAGATCCAATCCCTATTCTCAAGGAACTCACTGTCCAGGAGGGAAACCTCACAAACAAGAACAAATATAACTGTGTAAGTTCAAACAGCAGTACAGCACATGAAGGACTGGTGCATATTTGTAGGCATCCATATTAAGAGGTTGCCTTTTTGAGTCTAGAGCAGGGGTGTCAGTGTTTAAAGTAGACAGTGGGATAGATCAGTGTGGGAAATGACGACCATGGGAGACTGCAGAGCACAGGTCTCATCTTGAGTATTTAGATTCACATTTTTTATAATTCCCACAAGGAAGCAGAATATGTTTTTAATCCACCAGTTGGTGATCCTAGCCTACCAGTTCTGATCCCAGATCAGAAGAGCTTCTGGCCAGCACGGTGACTCACGCCTGTAATCCCAACACTTTGGGAGGCTGAGGCGGGCACATCACGAGGTCAAGAGATAGAGACCATCCTGGCTGACTTGGTGAAACCCTGTCTCTACTAAAAATACAAAAATTAGCTGGGCGTGGTGGCATGTGCCTGTAGTCCCAGCTACTCAGGAGGCTGAGGCAGGAGAATCGCTTGAACCCAGGAGGCGGAGGTTGCAGTGAGCCAAGGTCACGCCACTGCACTCTGACCTGGCGACAGAGCGAGACTCCATCTCAAAAAAACAAGAGCTTCCTCGAATAAATGATATTTTAATTGATACCTAATCATAGGCAAGGGTGGTGGGGACAGGGGATTGGGGAGCCTTCCAGCCACTGGAAATAGCAGGAGAATTGTCAGGAGTGAGTGTGCTGAAGGAGGGCACACCCAGAACATGACAGGGCTGTGTGCAGCTGAAGACCAGAGCTTCAAAGGAGGATAAGAGGTGAAACTAGTGTGGCCAGACCACAGACCTTGCAGATAGTCATGAGAGAAGTGGCAAGCCATAGAGCAGCCAGATTTACATCTTGAAAAAATGACTCAGCTGGGCACGGTGGCTCACGCCTGTAATCCCAGCACTTTGGGAGGCCAAGGCGGGCGGATCACAAGGTCAGGAGATCGAGACCATCCTGGCTAACACAGTGAAACCCTGTCTCTACTAAAAATACAAAAAATTAGCTGGGCATGGTGGTGGGCACCTATAGTTGCAGCTACTCTGGAGGCTGAGGCAGGAGAATGGTCAGAACCCGGGAGGCGGAGCTTGCAGTGAGCCGAGATCATGCTACTGCACTGCAGCCTGGGCAACAGAGGGAGACCCCATCTCAAAAAAAAGAAAAAATGACTCTGGCTTCTGTAAGGAGAATAGCCCATGGGCAGACCAGAATAGTTGCGGGAATACAGTTAGGGGTTACAGGTGTTAATATCAGAAGTGCTAGTAGATTGACCTAATGTCATGACTAGGAAATGGGGGATGGATTTAAGGACACAGAGGAGCAGTTCCAGAGTTGGTAAATACATCAGCTGGGGCATTGCTAAACCATCAGTTTCCTTCACAACTTTCCACTAAGCCATGTGTCAGCTTTGCCTTATAGGCTGGCTCCTTTTTTATCAGTGGGAAAAATTTTCCCAAAAGCTTCTGGAGACTTCTCTTGTCACATGCTCCTTCTTAAACCGGTCGTGAGCAAGGGAGAAAATAAGGTTACTGTGGTTGGCTGAGACTAGTCCAGATTACTCCTGGGTCAAGGCCAGGCATGCTAGCTCACACCTATAATCCCAACACTTTGAGAGGCTGAGGCAGGCAGATTGCCTTGATCACAGGAGTTCGAAACCAGCCTGAGCAACATGGTGAAACCCCATCTCTACAACAACAACAACAACAAAATACAAAAATTAGCTGAGCATAGTGGTACATGCCTGCAGTCTCAGCTACTTGGGAGATGAGGTGGGAGTATCGCTTGAGCCTGCGGGGTGGAGGTTGCAGTGAGTCAGATTCACTCCACTGCACCCCAGCCTGGACAACAGAGCCAGATCCTGTCTCAAGAAAAAATTTTTTTTAGATATTCATGTGGGATATGGATGGATAACCTCACAGAATAGGAGGTCTGGTAAAGGAGGAATGGTTATTGGGTCAGTGGGTCACCATTCATATCTGCTCCATGACAGAAGGGCTTAGGGGGAGTGGTGAGTGATGTCAGATTTGCATTTTGAGAAAATAACTAACTACAATATAGAGAATAGATAAAAGGGAGAGGCAAGAGTTGAAGTGGGAGACCATTTACCAGGCAAGAGTTAACAGAATAGCTTGGACCCTTTTTGGGGGCTATTGGAAAAATAGCACCATTTAATGTTCATTATTGATTGATAAGATTTACCACATCCTGCCAGGCACAGTGGCTCACACCTGTAATCCCAGCACTTTGGGAGGCCAAGCCAGGCAGATCACCTGAAGCCAGGAGTTCAAGACTAGCCTGGCTAACATGGGGCAATCCCATCCCATCTCTACTAAAAATACAAAAATTAGCCAGGCGTGGTGGCACGTGCCTGTAATCCCAGCTACTTGGAAGTCTGAGGCTGAGGCAGGAGAATTGCTTGAACCTGGGAGGCGGAGGTTGCAGTGAGCCAAGGTCGTGCCATTGCACTCCAGCCTGGGCGACAAGAGTGAAACTCCATCTCAAAAAAAAAAAAAAAAAATTTACCACATCTCACAAGACAGCACTCCAGCCTCAGTACCATAGCTGGATCTGTGCTAGGCATTGTACTGTTTTGTAATCTATAATGCCAACTGCTTCTGGGTGATGGGGTATGTGATCCCATTACTATACTTTTTTTCTGACAAATTAGTTCTTTTCTTTTTCCATAACATTAAATTTACATAAGCATGAAACGAATTATTTGTTTGGAGGTAATATTCCCTGAGACTCCATGGTAAGGTATTTCAGTAAATCCCTGGATGGTGATGGTATTCCTGGAGGCATGACAGGTAAATTCGGATAGATATTGTGGTGAGAGCCATTTGCTGTGCTACCATGGCAACCGTGTTCACGAGCTCATTGGGCCAGCACTAGGGTAGTGAGGGAAAGGGCTGACCATCATCACCTGGGTTTCTAGCAATGAGTGCCATCTTGTGAGCATTCACATGGAACATAAATATTTTCTTTCTTGTGCTAGTTATCCACTACCCAGCGATTGGTTTAGATCCTGACTTCCAGTGAGATAAGTGGTGTGATAATTTGCTTGAAGTTCTCTTCACTAGGAGAATTTCTCTTTTATACACATTCAAAGCCATCACTTAAGTAGTATACCCCATAGCAGTCTACTTCCAGCCCAGCATGGGCCAGCATGTTTCACCAAGCAGTTTATATACCAGGCCGGACTTTTTCTTCTTCAGTTAACTGTTGATGTCAATAGGAAGTCAGAAGTATCTATTGCGGCAGTGGGTTGTGTGGTAGGCATTTTATAGAGATCACTTCCAGCTGATAATGGGATTCTGCTGGGCATGTCCAAATCTATGGCTAATTGAATCTCATAATACCTAGTTTACGAGACCGGCCCGGTGGCTCATGCCTGTAATCCCTGCACTTTGAGAGGCTGAGTTGGACAGATCACCTGAGGTCAGAAGTTCAAGACCAGCCTGGCCAACATGGTGAAACCCCGTCTCTACTAAAAATACAAAAATTAGCCAGGCATGGTGGCAAATGCCTGTAATCCCAGCTACTCGGGAGGTTGAGGCAGGAGAATCGCTTGAACCCGGGAGGCAGAGGTTGCATTGAGCCGAGACCACGCCATTGCACTGTAGCCTGGGCGACAAGAGCGAAACTCCATCTCAAAAAAACAAAACAAACAAAAAAACCCCTAGTTTACGATGGGGAGTTGAAGTCATTTGGATACCTGTCTGTGATCAGGCTTGCAGTCTCTACCCTAGAGCCCAGTACTAGGCTAGGAGCATGGTCTTACCAATAGGATCATGGTCTTATATCCATATCCAAATATTACGATTCTTCTGTTTACCTTACTACAAACACTCTAGAGCTCCATACAATCTACCAGAGCTTATTTCTCTGTGGCCTGGATCAGCAGGAGCACTTTCTCTTTTCAGATCACTCAATAAATTGGTCAGAGGCTGGGCACAGTGGCTCATGCCTTTAATCCTCGCACTTTGGGAGATGAGGCAGGCAGATTGCTTTGAGTCCAGGAGCTCAAGACCAGCCTGGGCAACATGGCGAAAGCCTGCCTCTTCAAAAAATTAGCTGGGCATGGTGGTATGCACCCGTAGTTCCAGCTACTGGGGAGGCTGAGGTGGGGTATTGCTTGAGCCTAGGAGTTTGAGGCTGCAGTGAGCTGTGATTGCACCACTGCACTGCAGCCTGTGTGACAGAGCAAGATCTTGTCTCTATGTAGGTAGGTAGGTAGATTGATTGATTGATCAGATGGATTAGATGGATTAAATTGAGAGATCAGAGTTGGATGCAAGGATAAGGTATCTGCTGTCTCCAAAACTCAAAATGGCCCAGCAAGCATTGCTCCTCTTTGTTAGCAGGAGAGGGGTGGTGGGGCAAGGGGCAACAAGTTGTCTTTTATGTTGGAGGAGATACCCTGACGTGCTGCAGGCCTTTGACTTTCAGAAAATTTGGCTGAGGTGGCAGGCCACTGTATTTTTATGTCTGACATGTACATCTAAGATACATAACTTCCTGCTTTTCATGTCTCACATTGATGTCATTAGCATAGTTGTCAAGGTAATGTCCTGTGAAACAGACAAAATCTTGATGAACCAGATCACAACACAGAAAGGTCAAGATGATTTATCACTGAGGCTGCTCTTGCCATGAGCAAGAAAAACTGCTTCAAGTAGTCCACACAACTTAAAAAGAACACACACTTACCCCTAGCAGTAGTCTAGGTACCAGGAGTTATATGTTAATCTGCAGAAAGTAGAGTACGTCTGGAAAAGTAACTGCAAATCTGCAAAGTCTTCTGTAGCACTTAAGATCCTGCGGTTCACATGGAGACTTCGCCTTTTGCTAAAGAGATCACTGCTCTAGGAGCTTACATTTGCTCTTTCTGTGATGGTTCTTATCCAGTGGGCTAGGGAATCTGTGTGTCTTTGGGCATTACCTAATGGCCAATGTTATTGAAAATCAAGGTGGCACAGAGGGAGGTCTAGCCAACTTCACAGAGCCGGGAGCATCTAGTTTCTTTCCCTCCCTTTTGGAGGCCCTGACAGACAGGCAGGCAGGCAGACAGACAGATCGACAGACAGGTAAGATAGATTAGATAGATTAATAGGTCCTAATGTGAAGCCACCTCAGGCCAAAATTCCTTCCATCAGCTGGCCTGCAAAGGCTCCGTTCTAACTAGCATATCTTAGCGACATTCTGAGTTCCTAGCAAGTAGCTACCTCAAGGCCAGGACCTAGCAGACCCCAAAAGATGCATTTCCCTTTACCTAGTACAGTTGCCATGGCAAATATCTGCAGATTATTAAGAAAAGATGAGGAGGGAGGTTTATAATATATGTGTGTTAATGCGCTGTGGCAGGGTTCCTCCTTACAGATGCCTGGCCTCCCTGTTATTGAAGGGTTCTGGGTCTGAAATGACCCAGGCCTACGAGTTGGATGAGGGGGCCCCCTCTCTAGCATGGTGGTCTAGTAGGCTGCCTAAACTGACCTGGAAAGCTACTTTCCGTTTCCATTACTGGGAGCTTCACAATGAATTATTCACAGCCATAAACGTCTGATCATGGTCTCCAACAGTCTTTCTAGCCCACTTAGATCAGGAATCCCATTTTGAAATAGTCCCTTCCACTAGCATCTCACGCTGCTGAGGACAGCCAGGAAAGCACTTCTGAAAGATTCCAGTGCTTTCCTCACCAGTGTATAGCCTCAGCAAGGCATGTGATGTGGATCCCATCAAGGGCATACTGAAGGTGTCAGTAGAAGGCTGAGCCTTTAGAGTCCATATGCCACTCTGGTCTCCTCTACTTTGTGCCCAGGTTTTTCTGGCTTTTCATTATCACCTCACTAAATCCAGCATTCAGTCCAGGTTTCCACTGGCGAGCCTAGCTCAACATTAAAACCATGGCCAGTTACCTGAGCTGTTACACTACCTGCAGAAGTTCTTTTGACCATACCATAATTAGAAATTTGGCTTTATCCAGGCTGGGCACAATGGCTCATGCCTGTAATCCCAGAACTTTGGGAGGCTGAGGCAGGCAGATCACTTGAGGTCAGGAGTTTGAGACCAGCCTGACCAACATGCTGAAACCCTGTCTCTACTAAAAATACAAAAATTAGCCGGGCATGGTGGTGAGTGCCTGTAATCCCAGCTACTCGGGAGGCTGAGGCAGGAGAATCGCTTGAACCCGGGAGGCAGAGGTTGCAGTGAGCCAAGATTGCACCACTGCTCTCCAGCCTGGGGGACAGAACAAGACTCCATCTCAAAAAAGAAAAGAAATTTGGCTTTAACCAAGTCATACTCTCCCTTCCTTGTTATAACGTCTCCAAAATCTATATCAACAATTGTTCCTATCATTTGTAATGATCCAGCTCAGTGAATTCCTGTAGTTTCTTCTGGATATTTATTAGCTCTTTACTTTTTTTCCCCCGCTGTAGAGACGGGGTCTTGTTGTGTTGCCCAGGCTGGTCTTGAACTCCTGATCTCAAGCAGTCCTCCCACCTTGGTCTCCCAGAGTGCTGGGATTACAGGCATGAGCTACTGTGCCTGGCCAGCATTTTACTTTTCTACCTTATTTATGCATTTTACCCTCAGGTCATGTTATGCTTGCATTCTGGTAATGTGTGGGCAATGCAGGCTGGGTTGTGGGGCAGTTTTCATCATGACAGCAAGATGCAGTAGAGAGCATAATAGAGATTTTTGGAAATTAACTTTCTTTGGGTCCTCTCTTTTATCATCATTTCTGTTGTCTCACTTAAAGCCTTATCTTTCTCATGAGCAACCCAGGAAAGATGTGAATTCTGTGGCATTAAAATTCAGCAACTCGCAAAATTTGGAAACCTTAACATTTCACTTAGCAAAATACATATATAGTAATGTAAAGGCCCTGAGTCTTGGGTTTTCATTTCAAGGTGAGCATTTGATATTGGAGCTGGGTTATTTCTTGTTTTGTTCTCTAATATTGTCAGAAGTAATCCTACTCCTTGGTTTCAACATTTCCCCTCTCCTTTTAATTGGGACACCCCTACTCGTTTACCACCAGCTTGAACACATCACAGGTAATTGCAAGCAATAACTAAAATAGTAGTTGTGCAGCTATGAACTGTGAGCAGCTTGCTCTTTCCCATCCTGGCAATTGGTTGTCAGTTTCTTTCCTTCCATCTGAACCCAGTAACATCACCCACGTTTCCCCTAGCAGTCTCTCAACTACAACCCACTCTGATAGTAATTGCTAAATCAGTTAAGGTCCTCTAGTTAAAAGCAAGAGAAGTCACCTCAACTAAATTAAGCAAAAACAAACAGAACTATTGATTTGGGAAGACACTGGAGGAGCTGGCAGAATCAGAAGGTAAGTTGGAGTACCAAGTCTCAGGTAGAGCCGACCTTGGTGGCTTTGGGGCCCTTCTAGGGAAGCCCCTGCTTCTTCCTAGTTTTCAAAATCCTGGGAGAGAATCTGATTGGCTCAGTATCAGTCAGGTATGACTGTGTTTGGATCAGTCAGCCCTGGGAGAGAAGAGGAGAAATAACACATAGGGCAAACAAACCAATTTGTGTCTACTGTCATAGAATAATATTTTTAGTAACCATCAGATGGGGAAGGCCTTTCTAAGCTACTTAGAAGATTTAGATGCCAGAATGGAAAAGTTTGAAAGATAGCAAATATATTAAAATGTGAAACATCTTTGTGACAAATGATGTCGTAAAAAAGTGGCCAACTGGGAGAATCTATTTGCCATAGGTAGACAAAGAATGTTCCAGAATATACAAACCTGTGAGTAAAAGGTAAACAATCCAGTCAAGAAACTGGCAATTTACAGAAGAAATACAGATGGTCTATAAAGATATGAAAAGAAGATCAACTATATCTAGTAATCAGGGAAATACAGATTAAAGCTAACCATTATTTTGGACCTATCAGATTTGAAAATTTAAAAAGCTTTATATCAAATGTGGACAAAAGTATGGGGCTGCAGAGACTTACAGGTGGGGGAGTTTAAATTGGTATTGCATTGGAGGGATGATTCTGGCAGTACCAATCATTATTTAAATGTTTGAGTTTTCTGACCAAGCTTCTGAGATTCTTAACAGAAAAAGCCATGTACAAAGATGTTTATGACAGCATTATTTATAATAGCAAAGAAGATAAAAACGCAAATATCTGTCAAATAGAATGGCCAGATGATTTCTTATATCCATTATGATATTCTATACTATCATTAAAATAAATGTGTTCACATAGATCTCTAAGTTATATTGTTATGTGAGAAAACATATGTGGGATAATTTCATTTTTGTTTTCAAAAATATGTATATCTGTGTGTGTTTGGGTATGTTAATGCTTTTTTTTTTAAGTCTGAAAGACTACAAATTGTCAACAGTGGCTGCCTACAAGGGGGCTGGAAGAGAGGAGAGACATAATAGGGAACTTTGTTTTCTACTAAATTATTTGACTTAAAACAAGCATATTCTTTTTATAATATTTTTAAAGCAGATTTTTTTGAATATGGGAAATAAATCTAATGGACTTAGTTTGCTTCGATGGATATATAACATCTAGAATAAAGAAGTTCCTATGCCTAGTTTGAACTGTGTCAGGAGTCTTGTGGTCAGGTCTCTATAAAAAGGGATATCACCAAATGGGATGTTGTTCTGGAGAGAAACTGGACCATGGGGGTGAATAACTAAAGGAACAACACTCATAGGACATGACAGCTGTTTTCAGATATGTGACAGGCTAAAAGGAGACTGTAGCATTTCCGTGAATGCCCACCTGATTAGAAGTTCTAGGCTGTGGCTTTCATCCTAATTACAAGCTGGAGCTTTTTTGTTCACCAGCATTTGTCTTTCTAGGAATCATTGAATTTATTCAAAAGAAATACTTTGAAAAACCACTCAGAAGCCCCCATTTTCAGGGAAAATTGAGGTCTTTAAGGCATTATCAAGGTTTAAAAAGAAACAAAAAGATAAAATTGTGTTAGCTTCTGGCTGGGTGCAGTTGTTCATGCCTGTAATCTAGCACTTTGGGAAGCCAATGCGGGAAGATTGAGGCCAGGAGTTTAAGACCAGCCTAGGCAATGTAGCAAGACCTTATCTCTACAAAACAATTTTTTTTAATTAGCCAGGCGTGATGGCACATGCCTGTAGTTCTAGCTACTCAGGGGGCTGAGGTGGGAGAATCATTTGAGCCCAACACTTGGAGGCTACAGTGTGAGCTATAGTGCTAACTTTATAGAGCTGCAGGAGCTACAGTGAGCTACAGTGATCACCGCACTGCCCTCCAGCCTCCTGGCTACCAGAGTGAGACTCTGTCTCAAAAAAAAAAAAAAAAAAAGGCTTAGCTCCTGAGAGGAATGGGATAGGAGAGAAAGAAAAGAGGGAAAGAGGTGAAGCCAGTGAAATAGTCAGAATCTGTGCGATGTGAGATGTGACCTTCCTCAGGACCTCACATCTCTTAGATTGCCAGGTGAAGAAGGCATGTGTGTGTCACTAGTGATGGGACTGAGTGTGGCATCTGAGTTGAGATGGGTGAAATCGCCTCTACATTGATGAGTTGTCCCAAAATAAGTGAATCAGAGTCACAGTCCTGTGGGAATTAGCAGGAACTGTGACAAGGGCTTTGGAATTCCACTGTCCAGAGAGTTGGGAGTTTGCGTTTTGCAAGGGGCAGAAAAGATGCCCGCTGACATCTGGGTTTTACATTGCTTAGTACGAGGGAAATGCAAAAGAAATTGTGTGTCTGGGTGTTGGGTCGTTTTAAACAGAACTGTTCCAAGACCTACCTTGGAAGGTAGTAAATTTCCCATCACTCTAGTGTTCAGTCACTGGTGACTATTGGGTGAGAGTATTGAAAGGAGATTCAGACTTAAAAGTGAATGAGATTCAGACCTGTACTGGAGATCTAGGCAAGAAAAGAAAGGTATAAGGATTGCAAAGGAAGGGACAAAATATAAATTTTTCACAGACCAAATACTGTCTTCAGAAAAACCCACAGATTCATCAGACATATTATAGAATTAATATGACATATTATATTATAGAATTAATAAATATGACATATTTATAATTTATTATATATGACATATTTATAATTAATAAATATGACATTATAGAATTAATATGACATATTATAGAATTAATATTCATCAGACATATTATGGAATTAGCAAGGTTGCTAGATACAGAAGCAGCATAAAAATTTAATGCATTTCTATACATAGGCCACAAACAGAAAACCTAATAATACCTTTTAAAAGGTGCCAATTACAATAGCATCCAAATGTAAAGTACCTAGGAATGGATTTAACAATTTAGAGAAAATTATTAAAATGTTTGAAGACATTAAAGGAAAATAGCTTAAATTAGTGAAGAGATAGGATCAATGGATTAGGAGGCTCAATTTTGTAAAGATGTCAATTCTCCCCCAAGATATATAGATTCAATGCAATTCCAATAAAAATCCCAACAGGTTTTTTTGTGGAACTTGACAAGCTGATTCTAAAATTTATATGGAGGAGAAAAGATTCAAGAATAGCCAAGACATTCCTGAAGAAGAAGAACAAGGTGAGGAGACCTGCCTTACCAGATATAAAGAGATTATAAAATTTTAGTAATTAAGACAGTTTTGTATTGGCACTGGGATAGACAGATCGACCAGTGGAATGAAATAAAGAGCCCAGAAGCAGATCCATTTGTAAGTGGAAACCTATTTATGACAGAAATGCTCTTGCAGTTTGGGTGGGGAAAAGATGGTCTTCACAATAAATAGTGCCTGGGACCATTGGTAACCCTGTGGGAATAAATGAAATTGAATGCTTGTCACATATCAAACACAAAAACCAATTCCAGTTGCTGTAAACACTGAAATTTAAAGGACAAAAATGATAAAATGTAGAGATCATAATGTAGTAAAATATACTTCTGATCTCACAGTAGGAAAGGATTTCTTAAGACTTAAAATGTTGATAAAAGGGAAGATTGATGAATTTACATGAAAATGCAAAACCTCTGTTCATAAATGATACCATAAAGAAGATGAAAGGGAAGGCCACAACCTTGGTAAAAGATAACACAGGTAACTGATAAAGGAAGAGTATCCAGAATATATAAAGAACTTCTACAAATTGTTAAGAAAATAAGTAGGCTGGGCGCAGTGGTTCATGCCTGTAATCCCAGCACTTTGGGAGGCTGAGGTAGGCGGATCACAAGGTCAGGAGTTCGAGACCAGCCTGGCCAACACGGTGAGACCCTGTCTCTACAAAAAAATACAAAAAAAATTAGCCAGGTGTGGTGGCGGGCGCCTGTAATCCCAGCTACAGGGGAGGCTGAGGAAGGAGAATTGCTTGAACACAGGAGGTGGAGGCTGCAGTGAGCCAAGATTGCGCCACTGCACTCCAGTCTGGGTGACAGAACAAGACTCCATTTTGAAAAAAATAATCCAGTAGGACAACGGGGAAACCACTTGACTAGGTACTTCACGGAAGAGGAAACTCTTTTGACCAGTATGCTATGGAAAGATGATGAACCTCATTAATAATCAGAGAAATGTAAATCAGTTAACACAAAGTCTGACAGTAGCAAATGTTGATAAGCATACGGAACTGGAACACTACATTGCTGGTGGGAGTATAAATTAGTACAACTTCTTTGAAAAACAATTTGGCCTTATCTGGTAAGGTTAAAGATACCTATACCTGAAATTCTTGCACATATGCACAAGAAAGATACAAAAATGTGTCTCAAAGCAGGACCTTTAACTGTAAACAACCCAAATATTCATCAGTAGTAGAATGGATAAGTAAATTTTAACACCGTCTCAAATGGAGCACTACAAAGTAGCTGAAGTTAGCAGCCAGGATGAATCTTAGGAACGTAATGTTGAGCCAAAGAAAAAAGCAACTCACCACTTAATCATGATTCCATTTTCCTCAAAAACTAGACTAGCAATAATAATACATTGTTTTGGATGTAAAAAATATGAGATACAAATAAAGGAATGTAATGATAATTATAAAACTTCAGGTTTACCAGTGAGAGGGGAAGGAAGAGGATATAAGGAGAGGAGCCCAAAGAGAGCTTCTAAGTTAAATTATGTGATGGATACTTTTTAAAAAATAAATATCAACAAATGTGAAAAAAAAATTTTTTTTTAACCGACATGTCTTTAAAAAATGAATGAGTACTTAGCCTTGGTTCCAGTTAAGGCTTAAACAAGAGATGAAACGGTCTTCGATGCCACCTAGTGTTTCTAGAGAGTTTAACATTTTATAGACTTCTGCTCTAGCTGCTCCTTCCTAGCTCTGTGAGCTAGGTTTTTCAGAGTAGAAACCAAAAGGAGTAGGATTCACCTTGTTTTCATCCGTGACGCAGGCTCTTCATTCTGAACCTTTGCATCTAGCGCTGTGTTCTCCAGGGCAAGCCCTTTCTTCTCTCTTGTTAAACAATGGCTCCTGTTTCTTCCTGACTCTTTTTAGGAGCCTTAGTCCACCTGGAGACCTAGTTTTTCTTTATCATGACTGAGGGAGCTAGGGATGCTGATAGGGCTGTGAGATGTAGTCTTTGTTATTCCTGACATTTTTGTATTGAAGACTGTTTTCAAGAGTCTTGCTGTCCCTACGTCTGTTCTACATTTTAGAGAAGGGATGCACAGGAAAACTAGTGCCTCTGGATTAGCCATCAGGGCTTAAAAAACTGACATCTCATCCTGCCCTGTACTTGGGTGGAAACCTGTGGAAATCTTATGTGAAGGAAGAGAATGCAAACTGTGGGTGAACTGAGAAATTCTGATCTAAAATAATGGTCTCTACTGCGTGTGTAAGAGTCCAGCCCAGGAAAATCTTTTCTTCCTTTTGTGGTATTCACAGCATAGGGTCAGGGGTAATTGCCTCTGTTAGTAAAATAACATGCAGAACCTCCAGGGTTTTAATCTGAAAGGAAATCTCTTGAGTAGGTGAGGGCAGATGGATTTTGAGGTCCTAATTTCCCTATCTTTGGGTCTTTCACTTTAATTTCTCCTATCACTGTCATGCTGGTTTCCAGTAAATATATTTGCTCCTTTCTTAAAGCTCTTGCTTCCCAGCCTGGGCAACATAGCAAGATCCACCTCTACAAAAATAAAAATTAAAAAATTAGCCAGGCATGGTGGTGCTGTGCCTGTAGTCCCAGTTACTCAGGAGGCTGAGGCAGTAGGATACCTCCAGCCCAGGAGTTCAAGGCTGCAATGAGCTATGATGGCGCCACTGCACTCCAGCCTGGGTGACAGAGCGAGACCCTGTCTCCAAAAAAAAACAACAAAAAACTCTTGCTTCCATCTGACAAAAAATTGGTTCCCTTTGGGTTGGCATTTCCTTTATTCAGTCTTTTTTTAAATTATTATCAAAGACAGAAACGTTCATTCTTCATTTCTGCCTCTTGCTCTTCCCAGTCCACTTTTGCCTTCATTCCATCTCCAAATGTAGTAATTTTTTTTTTTTTTTTTTTTTGAGACAGAGTTTTGCTCTTTCTGCCCAGGCTGGAGTGCAATGGCGCAGTCTTGGCTCACTGCAACCTCCATCTCCCGGGTTCAAGCAGTTCTCCTACCTCAGCCTCCCAAGTAGCTGGGGTTACAGGCATGTGCCACCATACCTGGCTAATTTTTTGTATTTTTAGTAGAGATGGGGTTTCACCATGTTGGTCAGCTGGTCTCGAACACCAGACCTCAAATGATCCACCCGCCTCGGCCTCCCAAAGTGCTGGGATTACAGGCGTGAGCCACCGCGCCTGGCCCAAATGTAGTAATTCTAATTCCAGAATATGTCTCAAATGCATCCATTTCCTTGTATCATCATTTTTCCATGCTTCTCTTCTTGCTCCTCTCTAGTCCATTTTCCATACAATAACAAGTAATTCTTTAACATGGAAAATGGATCACACTTTAAAAACCTTCAATGATTTCCTTATGCACTTAACATAAAATTTGAACTCCCTATTCAAGGACCTACCTGGAAATGGATGATCTGACTTTGCCAGGCTCATCTCTTCCTACTTCCTCCTGCCATCCCCATCAACCTCACCTTCTGCGTGATACCTGCACTGATTTTCGGTTCCTCACACAACCAAGCCTTCTTCCACCTCTGGGTTACCACAGATGCTGTTCTCTGTGTCTGGAATACTATTTTCTATACTCATCCTTCCTCAGAGAGACCCACCTGTAATCCAAATTTGGTGCTTTCTGATACTTCATCTCTAGTAGCATTCTGTTCTTTGATTGCATTCATCATGGTATATAATTATATATGTATTTGTTTTATTTGTTTAATGTCTGCTTTTCACCCACAAGTTTATATTGTCCTTGAGGGCGAGAACTGCACTTATATTTGATTCCCCACTCTTTGCTCTGTATCTAGCCCAGTGCCTGGTAGGTACAAAATATATATTTGTTGAAAGAATGAATGAAAAGTAATGCATGAATTGTTCCTCTACTGCTGAATACTACGGTTGTTCTCAGTTTTGGGTCATTCTAAATAATGATGAAGTAAATAATTAGGACATAAAGATTTTTATTTCCTAAGGGTATGTTCTCAAAATTGAAGTTGCTAGGCCAAAAAGTATTTTTGAAAAGTTTTTTTAAGGCTCATAAAATGTAATTTCCAAGTCACTTACTCGGAATTAGTGTTGGAATTTTAAAGTGCCTCCCTTTTTGCTTTCTTGTTTGTTTTTATAGTGTCAGAGTCTCACTGTGTCACTCAGGCTGGAGTGCAGTGGTATAATCATGGCCTTGAACTCCTGGGCTGAAGTGTTCCTCCCACCTCAGCCTTCTGAGTAGCTGGGACTACAGGCATGCACCACCATACCTGGCTATTTTTTTTTTTTTTTTTTTTTTTAATGTAGAGACGAGGTCTTGCTGTGTTGCCCAGGCTGGTCTCAAACTTCTGGCCTCAAGTAGTCCTCCCACCTCTACCTCCCAAAGTGCTGGGATTACAGGCATGAGCCACCACACCCAGCTCCTTTTTTCATCCTTAATTTTGAATATATGAAACATACAAGAGGAGAACAGATCAAATAATAAAATTTAGCTTCCCACTCTGATAAAACTCATTTATTTGAATACTTATTCTTTGCTACACATGAGATTATTTCCTTATGTGGCAGATGTTGTTGTTCCAATTTTATGTATTTATTTATTATTTATTTTTGAGACGGAGTCTCGCTCTGTCGCCTAGGCTGGAGTACAATGGCGTGATCTTGGCTCACTGCAACCTCCACCTCCCAGGTTCAAGCGATTCTCCTGCCTCAGCCTCCTGAGTAGCTGGGGTTACAGGTGTGCACCACCATACCCAGCTAATTGTTGTCTTTTTAGTAGAGACAGGGTTTCGCCTTGTTAGCCAGGCTGGTCTCGAACTCCTGACCTCAGGTGATCCACCCGCCTCAGCCTCCCAAAGTGCTGGGATTACAGGCGTGAGCCACTTCACCCGGCCCCAATTTTACAGATGAGGAAACTGGACCTAGAAATTTTAACAGATGTGCTCAAGTTCATACAAACACAGACTATCTCATGTCAGATCATTGTGTGATAACCTCCCTGCACTAACTAATCTACATTTGCTCCAGAACTGCTGCAAATTTAATGTCACCTCACCCAAATCTTCTGCTTCTTAACTGCTGCATCTATATGAATGCCCTCCCACCCACCCACCAGTCCTTGCTTCCTTGCCACATGATGCTAGAGGCTGGGGTGCCATGCCCCCTTAGATCCCTAGGAAGAGATTAAATCAGCTGGCCATCCAGAACCTTCCTGTGTGGTTCACTCTGAGATGCATGTCATCTTTGTGTGGTGGTAATTAGCATGAGGATAAATGGCCCATTCCTTCAGGTATGTCCCCATTCCAATTTACAAGGGTAGGCCCTTTTGGCCCAGTATCATAACAACAGGCTGCTAACCACATAGTAATCATGGAAAGAGCATGCTATACTTACATAACAGAAAGGGCATTCTGCCCCCTGAGGATTCTTGTGTTGTTGAACTCTAAGGAGCTTGTGGCTGTTTCGGGGGAGAGGAGCATTCTCTGTGTTAGGCTGCAGGTATTCACCTGGGCCCATGTTTTTCCCCCCAGGAAAAGGTAGAACATGCTACCAGGTCAGGGTTTGGTGCAGCAGTTTGCATGTTTGATGTTTATCCCTGCTAATAATTCCTCTAATTTCTCTTAACCTTTCAGGCTCTCCCTGCATGTCCTATCCAGGCCACCTGTGAGGCTGCTTCCAAGGAGGAAAACAAGGAAAAAAATCGATATGTAAACATCTTGCCTTGTGAGTGTCTTTAGTGTTTCTTGGGATGTAACCTGAAATTACATCTCTGGAGGGATTTTCTGAAGATGGAAAGAATCTTGCAATTGGGCACAGCAGGGTGAATAACAAGAGTGCGTTCATGGCAGTACTCAGTGGCTCATACCTGTAATCCCAGAACTTTGGAAGGCCAAGGTGGGAGAATCTCTTGAGCCCAGGAGTTTGAAACTAGCCTGGGCAATATAGTGAGACCTCATCTCTACAAAAACCTTAAAAAATTAGCCAGGCATGGTGGTGTGTGTCTGTCGTCCCAGCTACTCAGGAGGCTGAGGTAGGAGGATCCCTTGAGCCCAGGGGGGCAGAGGTTGCAGTGACCCAAGATCGTGTCACTGCATTCTAGCCTGGGTGACAGGGCAAGACCGTGTCTCAAAAAAATAAAGTAAAAGAAATGAAATAAATAATAATAAATAAGATAAATAAATAAGAGTAGGTTGAAGACTTTGGGCTGAAAGAGCCTTTATGGATCCCACATACTCAGAGTCAATTAGGATGATCCAGGAGGATTTTTGTGTCAGGCCTAAAGTTTCTAGGAGGTCCTGGAGAACAGCTTCACTAGGATCAGGCAGGAAGCAGGGGGTAATGGTGGTGGTAGAGATGGTTTTTTGTGGTATTCATTGAAAGAAATTCTAATGCAGAGTTCTCTGTATAAACCCTTCCCAGAGTTAGCCATTGCTAATCAGTTGATCCATAAGCTAACAGACATTTTTCTAGTCCATTGGTATCCAGAATGGGATATGCATAATTTAATGAGATATGAGAGGAAGATGTTTGAACCTCACTTGATTTTTATATTTGCTTTTCAAAAAAAAAAAATTCCTAATCCTCAGAACCTGTGAAAATGTTTTTTTTTTAATTTTTTGTAGAGATGGTCTTGCTGTGTTGCCTTGGCTGATCTCAAACTCCTGGCCTCAAACAGTCCTCCTGCTTTGGTCTCCCAAGTGTTGGGATTACAAGCATGAGCCAGTGAGCCCAGCCAGTATATTTGCCTTTTAAAAATTCATCCTTTTAAATTTTTTATTTCATTTATTTTTTTAGAGACAGGGCCACCCAAGCTGGGGTGCAATGATGTGATCATAGATATGTATCCTCGAATTCCTGGGCTCAAGTAATCCTCCTGCCACAGCCTGCTGAGTAACTAGAACTACAGGTGCATCTACCATGCCTGGCTGATTATTTTTTAGACACAGGGTCTTGCTGTGTTACCCAGCCTGGTCTCAAACTCTTGGCCTCAAGCAGTCCTCCCACTTTGACCTCCCAAAGAATTGGGATTACGTGCATGAGCCACCACATCTAGACCCTAAAAATTTTATATTTCAGGGTATATCATACATTAGCATATGTGCATAATTTATCAATAAATGAGCATGTATTAGAGATGCCTGCTCACATTTTTATAAGTGAAGTATGGAACCAAAAAATTAGGACCACTACACTATGCATTTACAGATACTTTTGTCTTTTTCTTTTTTCTTTCTCGCTCTGTCACCCAGGCTGGAGTGCAGTGGCACGATCTTGGCTCACTGCAGGCTCTACCTCCTGGGTTCAAGCCATTTTCCTGCTTCAGCCTCCCAAGTAGCTGGGACTACCTATAGGCACATGCCACCACACCCAGCTAATTTTGTATTTTTAGTAGAGACGGAGTTTCACCATGTTGGCCAGGCTGGTCTGGAACTCCTGACCTCAAGTGATGCACCGCCTCTGCCTCCTGAAGTGCTAGGATTATAGGCGTGACCCACCATGCTCGGCCTTGTCTTCTTATTTATGTGCACATGTTGGAGGAGGGGGATGTGTGTATGTGTGTGGGTGTGGGTATGTGTATATATAATACATATTTTTTAATATGATTGGTATACTGTACACATTTCTCTCTTTTAATAGTATATATTGTCAGTTCATCTGTCAAGAAACTTTCTTTTTTCTCAACTACTTAGTATTCCACATTGTAGATGCATCTTAATTTATTTAACTAGTCCCCTAATGATACTTAAGGTATTCCCAATTTTTTGCTGTTATACTGTTGGAGTTATATTGTTGGAGTGGCATCTTTATACAAGCGTGAGTCTGTGCACATAGGCACAGATGTCTCAACTGTCCTGGTTGCGTCAGGTTCTGTGAGAAATAAATTTTGATTTTACTGAAATATTGTTGGTTTGTTTCCTAGATGACCACTCTAGAGTCCACCTGACACCGGTTGAAGGGGTTCCAGATTCTGATTACATCAATGCTTCATTCATCAACGTAAGGATCGGGTGCTTTCCCTGTCACTTCCCTGCCTGACCATTGCCACTATCTGTTGGCTCCTCCCCAGCTGTGTGTTAGGAGAAATATTTGTCATTTCATGTTTTCCCTGACAAGTCTGGTTTTTTTAAGTGACTGAATTTTTTTTTAAGGTCAGTCAAATAGTTTTAATCATTTTCTATATTTACCCTGTCGTCATTCCCTATGGTTTCCCATGTAGAAATCTGTGTCTAAATATGTATTTTGTGATAAGAGTCAGTGAATCCTTTATTGAGCTGATTCTAATTACAAACAAAAGCAGGCCTTGCCCTCAACAGTAAAAATAAGGGAGAACAGGACAAGAATACCTGACATGACACCAGCTATATTATATATGTGTGTGTATGTATATATGTGTGTGTGTGTGTCTGTGTGTGTGTATATATATATATATATGACTATCTGGTTAGCCATATATGAACCAAGGCCTGAGGGAAGAGCTGATACTAAGAGGAGGTTTTTAAAGATGATTTAGAGAATGTTTATAGAACAGTCTGTATGAGAGATTTGAGGTTTTTGTTTGGTTGGTTTTGTCTTTGGCAGTAGCCTGAAAAAACACATAAAGAGTTAAGAATATGTTTTATAGGTTTGGGGGAAGCATCCTGTAGAGAGAGTGAATTTGAACAGAAAAAAGAGAGAGGGAAAGCTGGCAAAAGCAAGTCTGACTCCTGATGCAAAATGCATGAGAAGACTGGATAAAATTTCCACTTGCATGTTTATAGCAGCATTAATCCTAAAAGCCAGGTGGGAGCACTCCAAGTGTCCATTGACGGATGAGTGAATAAATTAAATGTGGTACATGCATACAGTGGAATGTTATTCAGCCTTTAAAAGGAAGGAAATTCTAATACATGCTACAACATGGATGAACCTGGAAGACATCATGGTAAGTGAAATAAGCCAGTCACAAAAGGACAAATATTGTATGATTCTACATATAGAATATAAACTATATATACATATGTAGAGTAGTCAAATTCACAGGGACAGAAAGTAGAATAGTGGTTGCTGGGGGAGGGAGGAATGAGGAGTGGGTACAGAGTTTCATCTGGGGAAGATGAAAAAGTTCTGTAGACGGATGGTGGTGATGGTTGCACGACAGCGTGAATATACTTAATGCTACAGAACTGTACACTTAAAATGGCTAAAATCAGCCGGGCACGGTGGCACACCTGTAATCTCAGCACTTTGGGAGGCCAAGGCGGTGGATCACTTGAGGTCAGAAGTTTGAGACCAGCCTGACCAAGATGGTGAAACCTCATCTCTACTAAAAAAAAAAAAAAAACAAAAAAAAAAAAAACAACTTAGCCGGGCGTGGTGGCAGGCGCCTGTAATCCCAGCTACTTGGGAGATTGAGGCAGAGAATTGCTTGAACCCGGGAGGCGGAGGTTGCAGTGAGCCGAGATGGCGCCACTGCACTCCAGCCTGGGCGACAGGGTGAGACTGTCTCAAAAAAAAAGAAGAGTCAAAATGGCTAAAATCGTAAATTTTATGTTGTATTTTACCACAAGAAAAAAAAAGGACACTGATGGAGAGATTAGTGTGAACATAAGAAGGGCTGTTTCTTCCTCTGAGAGTGAAGATAAAGGAGAGGACAGAATGGATAGAGACGACTCGTAGGTGTGGGTAAAGCAAGTTGAGGCAACTCACCCGTGTGCTCATGGTTGTGTACTGAACAAATGAGATGGGACTGTGACATGAGAGCTTCGAAAGTTTAGAACAGCTTCTGAGGTCCCTGAGAAAAGGATACCAAAGAGAGAAAGCAAAGGACATGTCTAGTGGGATGTCATTGATGGGGGTGGGGGGTGCTGAGTTGTGTGATTTTTTTTTTCTTCATCTGCACCCTGGGATTGGTGGTAAATGCAGAGGACATGTGGTACTCAGACAAAAGGGAAGGTCAGTGGCTGCTTCAAGTAGTCAGCCAAGGGCTTCAGTTTCAGTAGAAAAGAAAAGCGTTAGGAAGTTGTTAGGAATAAACAACTATTCCTAAGGTGGTAGGATTGAGGAACTGGAGATCTTGAGAAAGTGAAAGAACAGGAGGTTGTGTCCAAAAAATAGGCTATTAGATGGACTTCAAAAATGGGGCAGTCCGGGCATTCTCACTGGAGTGAATTTGCTGAAGTTCCTGTATGTATGTTTAACATTAATGGTTACATGTTTGTAGTTTTAAGGAAAGGGACCCTGACTAGACAAATAATTGTTGTAGTCGATAAGGAAAATGGAGAAAGGCTAGTAATCAGCAGGAATTCCTAGAACTTACATCGAAGATCATGATGAAGAGATTAGGTGGAATAGGTTGACTTTAATGTTATGCAGAAGAGAAGAGCAAGATCAGTTAGTGTGTCCAGCTGCGGGTAAGAGAATACTCAACTAAAAGTTGTCTAGATGGGAACATTTTTTTTTTTTCTGGAGACAGTCTCACCCCGACACCCAGGCTGGATTGCACTGGTACGATCTTGGCTTACTACGACCTCTGCCTCCCGGGCTCAAGCGATTCTCATGCCTTAGCCTCCCTAGTAGCCAGGATTACAGACATGTGCCACCATGCCCAGCTAATTTTTTGTATTTTTAGTAGAGACGGTGTTTTGCTATGCTGGCCAGGCTGGTCTTGAACTCTGAGCCTCAAGTGATCCACCTGCCTCTGCCTCCCAAAGTGCTGGGATTACAGGCGTGAGCCACCGTGCCCAGCTGGAACATTTATTTGTCTCATATACTGTGAAAGCAAATGGAGACCAGTTCTTGAGTTGGCTGATTCCATGGGTCAGTGACATACTTACAAAACCAGGTGCTTCCATCTTTCTACTCAGTTATCCTTAGCCCTGTCAACAGTCTCATGGCCACAAGATGGCTGCAGCAGTCCCAAGCATTCCTCATAAACACAGCATCCAGCCGGGTGCGGTGGCTCACGCCTGTAATCCCAGCACTTTGGGAGGCCGAGGCGGGCGGATCACAAGGTCAGGAGATCGAGACCATCCTGGCTAACACGGTGAAACCCCGTCTCTACTAAAAATACAAAAAATTAGTCGGGCGTGGTGGCGGGCACCTGTAGTCCCAGCTACTTGGGAGGCTGAGGCAGGAGAACGGCGTGAACCTGGGAGGCGGAGCTTGCAGTGAGCCGAGATCACGCCACCGCACTCCAGCCTGGGCGACAGAGCGAGACTCTGTCTCAAAAAAAATAAATAAATAAAAAATAAAAAAAATAAACACAGCATCCAGCACAGAAGAGGAACATATCTGCCTATGCTTTTCTCTCTGTTAGGGAGCAAGGCTTTTCACGGAATCCTCCCCACCACCCTGTCCTCAGGACCAGCAGGCCAGGATTGGATCACATGTTCACATCCCTCTCTAATCACTGGCTAGGACATTGAGAATGATCATGATTTACCCCTCTGAGCCTGGGGAATGGGCACCTTCCAAGCCAGTGAAAGGTTAATGTCCAAACAAAATTGTGGCTCTAATGGCAAAGAAGAAAGGGAGGAATGGATTTGAGTTAGTAACCAGCAGCATCTGCCACCGTAACCAGTTTGGTCCCTTCCCACATTGAAGGTGAAAACTGACAAAAGTTAATTGTATGTTAAGGCTGTTAAGCAGCTGAGATGGGGATCTCTTCATGGTAATGGCACAGTAGAAAGAAACAGCCTTATCCCTTGACCATGTTTATTTAGAGCTTACACTAGGGCATTCCATAATGCCTTGATGGTTATTAGACAGTTATTAGTAGGCAGAGTTTACATGAAGAGGGTTAAATGGGGGACCTTATGAACTCAGTGAAGGAACAAAAGCAGGGAAAAACCTGTGGTTAACCATAAGTGGGAAGCAGGGATTAAAGATTTGGATTTCACAGTTTATTAAACTCAGTCAACATTTTTTGAGCACCTGCTGTGTGCCAAGCACTGTGGGTAGGCTTAAAGGTTACAGAGGTAAGATGTAATCCCTCATATACTACACAGGTAGTTAGGTTGTTTCCTGTAATGTGCTACGTGTGCAAAGGAGGTATTGCCAGGTTCTGTGGAGTTATGAGAAAAAACATTCAGCCCAGCCTGGTAACCCAGTAGAGCTCATTATTGAAGAGTGAGTCAGAGTTCAGGAGAAGAAAGTTGGGCAGAAACTTCAAAGCAAAGGAGAAACATGAGCAAAGTCACAGAGACTAGAAACAGCAGTCTTAGGTTATAAGGTATAAGATGGGAAGTGGTGGGAAATGAGACTTGATCTTGAAAGGTAGTGGATGTCAAGTGTGTCCATTGGAGTTCTTACTTGCAGACTATAGAGTGTACTTTTCATCCACTCTTTTAAGCAGAAAGGGGTTTATTATAAGATACTGGGTACCTTAACAAAACCTGGGGAAGAGCCAGTGAGCCAAGCTCAGATGCTGCTCAGCAAAGAGCAGAGCAGCTATAGATCTATGCAGCATGTGACTGTCATAGTGAAACCTCTGCACAGTGCTGCAGAAGAACTGGATGCTTCTACTACCGTGCTTGCCCAAAGACCAGATTTCTAGCACAGTCGTTATCTCATGTTGCTCATTTCTACCCCAAGTCTTGTGTGGGAGCATCTGCTAGGAAGAAGCTAGGTCTCGTGGATTGCTGAGCTGCTAGGGAGTCTGGGAAATGTAGCTGTAAGATAGTCAAGCTAGAAGGGAGCAGGAGTGGGTACTAAGTGAACCACCTAATAGTGTCTGCCAGTTTTCAGTACAGCTGAGCGGTTTTGATGAATTTATCTAGGCCGTGGGGTACCATTGAAAAGTGTTCAAGGCAGGGAGTAGTGTGACCACATTTACATATTGATCACTGGGGCTATCATGTACAACATGGATTTAGGAGGGGCCAATTGGGGGCTATTGCAATAGCAGGTAGATCACAAATGATGAGGGTTGACAAGGAAGCGGCGACAAAGTGAAAACTACGTGGAGGTAGAATTTAGCAGGAATTGGTGGTTGATTTATATATGAGAGAGTAGAGGGTGATATATCCATGTAGATGTATCCAGCATACAGTTGGTCATATCTAGAGCTGTGGACTTGGAAGTAATAAAGGAGTGGGCCAAGAACAGAGCCCTTGGGCCCACAGCCCCTGCCAGGCACATTGAACAGGTGCTCATGGGTGAGATGGAAGGAGACCAAGAGAAGAGAGCATCTGAGAAGGCAAAGATAAAGCATGGCTCAGGAAGTGTTTGGCAGTGAAGAGGGTTATGTGCAGATTAGAGATCAGTGGGAAAGAGGAACAGATTTTCTTTGGACTTAGTGTGTAGGGCAGCATCCTTTGCTGAAGCAAATTCAGAGGCCGTTTGTTGCATCCTTTTTGTGGGCTGCTAGTTAACACTTATCAAACCCTTTTTTTCCCCTAACATTGAGGTATAATATATATAACATAAAATTCACCCATTTTAAGTGAGAATTCAGTGATTTTTTGGTAAGTTTACCAAGTTATGCAGCCATCACCATAAATGTCTTAGAACATTTTCTAACAACTTTATTGAGATGTAATTCAAATACCATGTATTTCACCCAGAGTTTACAATTCAGTGTTTTTTTAAGTATATTCACATATAACTGCAGCCCATCACCAATTTTAGAACATTGTCATCCCCTCAAAAGAAGAACCTTACACTCTAGCTGTTGCCCCCTTAGTTTTAGAACACATTGCTCACCCCAAAAAGAACCTCAGTGTCTAAATACAATTAATCTCCATTCTCACCCCCCGGCCATCACTTAACTTTTTGCGTAGAGAACTGAGACCACACACATGGATCTTGAAGGGAACTAGGCACCATGGAGTAGTGGTGAAAGGCCTAGGAAAGTGGGGTCTGTAGTTTGGGAAACACATAGGTCAGCTAACCTAACACTGTTCACAGGAGGAGATGAAACAGAGGCAGTGGCACAGTTGGCAGGTGGGCTTCCAGCCTAGAGCCTTAGGAGAAACCAGTTTCCTTACTCATTTTTAGATGTCTAAGAATATATAGGATTTTTTTTTTTTTTTGAGACGGAATTTCACTCTTGTTGCCCAGGCTGGAGTGCAATGGCGCGATCTCACTACAACCTCTGCATCCGGGGTTCAAGCAATTCTCCTGCCTCAGCCTCCCAAGTAGCTGAGATTACAGGCATGCACCACCACACCTGCTAATTTTGTATTTTTAGTAGAGATGGGGTTTCTCCATGTTGGTCATGCTGGCCTCAAACTCCCTACCTCAGGTGATCTGCCCACCTCGGCCTCCCAAAGTGTTGGGATTAGAGGCATGAGCCACCGCGCCCAGCCTAGAATATATAGGATCTTTAGACGTGTTTCTTTTTAGAGGTAGGAATGTAGCTACCACCTAGAGCCCACTGAGATTCAGCTTTCAGAATCTAGAGACATCTCAGGAGCCAGGGAGCCACATTTCATCTTTCCCTTGAACAGAACACAAGATCAGTGGCTTTGCTTCATTCTCATTACTCTGTATTAGTTAAGCAGTGCCGCCACATCACTGTACAAGCATGTTTTCAGGAAGGCATATGACGCACTCCTGGTAAGATGGGGCAGGAAGCACTTTGGGGCTGGGCCTTCCAACCAGGTGTTCAGGCTGTTCAGGGCCCGCATGCTGCAATGAGAATTTAGCAGTGACTCCTCATGGAGCAGGAATATGATGCGCTTAACGTATTCTTAAGGACTTCTCAGTTTTAATTATAAGTTTAGTAATATAAGCAGAATTTAACATCCAGAATTAAGGCTATTTCCATTTCCATTCTCTAATAAATAAAAACATTTGTTGAAACTTAAATTGCTCTTCTCAATGAAAACTTTAACAAGTCTTTTGTTGCTGACTAAACATATCCATCTCTGAGGCCTAAAGCTTTCTCCTTCTGTGTTGGGCAGCAACCCTGCCCTGCCCTTGTTTGAACTGAAATTGAAAGTGGCTCCTCAGACCAGGCACGGTGGCTCACACCTGTAATCCCAGTACTTTGGGAGGCCAAGGTGGGCGGATCATCTGAGTTCAGGAATTCGAGAGCAGCGTGGCCAACATGGTGAAACCCCATCTCTAATTTTTGTAAAAATACAAAAATTAGCCGGCCGTGATGGCTCATGCTTGTGATCCCAGCTCCTTGGGAAGCTGAGGCAGGAGAATCACTTGAACCCGGGAGCAGAAGGTTGCCGTGAGCCAAGATCGCACCACTGCACTCCAGCCTGGGTGACAGAGCAAGACTCCGTCTCAAAAAAAAAAAGAAAGTGGCTCCTCAGATTTAGGCCACTTCTTATATTTGGCCACTGCCTTGCAGCCTTGTAGTTCACATTGCCACCCTGGTGTTGGTGTGACATGGTGTCCCATCCCTGAAGCTGCCTCCCTTGTTACTCACCTTATTGCTGTCTGAGAAAGGAAATGGGTGATTCACAATCCTTAAATCAAGTGGCTTTCTCTTACCTAGAACTTCTGAATTGAACATACATTTAAACAATGACGTTGAAAAGATGTATAACTGGAGCAATAAAGACTGAAAAAGAAAGCTGCGGCCAGTTGTTAGTTTTTCCGAGGCTCCTTATCTGTTGAGTGGCACCCCAGGCTCCCTTGCTCTTGTCCCCCACTGCCTGTGATAGAGAAGCCTCTTGTTAAACACTGGGAGCTACTTCACCACACTCACAGGCTATTCCCAGAAAGATTTTGCACCTGGGTAAAGCATCCTTGAGAAAATAACCTGTTTTCTTTCCCAGAGTGAACCCAGCTTCATCCCTGGAACCACCACATATGCTTTTCCCCTGGTGGGTTCTTAACCTGTTAACACTGAAATCTACATTGTTAGCTGCTGATAAAGCATCAGAAACATGGTCTAATCTGGGAGTCAGTATTTGGATTTCTTTTTTCTTTCTTTCTTTTTCTTTTTTTTTTTTTTTTGGAGATGGAGTCTTGCTCTGTCACCAAGGCTGGAGTGCAGTGGCGCAATCTTGGCTTGGCTCAGTGCAACCTCCACCTCCCAGGTTCAAGCAATTCTCTTGCCTTAGCCACCCTAGTAGCTGGAATTACAGGAGTGCACCACCACGCCCGGCTAATTTTTGTATTTTAGTAGAGATGGGGTTTCACCATGTTGGCCCCATGCTCTCACACTCTTGACCTTAGATGATCCGCCCACCTTGGCCTCTCAAAGTTCTGGGATTACAGGTGTGAGCTACCACGCCTGGCCTGGATTTCTTATTCTAGTATTTATTAATAATTCAATTTGAGAAGACTACCTAGACTATTTGAGTTTTGTAATCTCTAATTCCTAGCTCTAAAGCTAATCCCTTGTGAATATCTAGACTGGAAATCCCCGTTAAGTACCTGCACATTTTCAGGTTTTGTTAACTGGTTGGAGTCAGACTGGAGAATTTCATTTCTATTCATTTTTGGTTTTCTCTTTCTTTTTCTTTCCTTCCCCACACCCCAGGGCTACCAAGAAAAGAACAAATTCATTGCTGCACAAGGTAAAGTAATGACAACTTTTTTCTGTTAGATTTAACCATGATCACATAATGGGTTTGGTTTTTTTCTCCCAAATGCTGAGTGGATTAACCAGAATGCTGTAGCTTTTCTGTACTTTTTACCACCTGAAAGAATTATAATCCATTATACAGGTTTACAGCTAACAGCCTTCATCTTGATGACTTAGTATCCAGGGATCCATTAAAAGAAGTCTTTTTGTGTATGTATATTAAAAAGACTGGAAAAGGCTGTATACACAAAACACAGTCTAATAAGGCCCTCTGTCCTTGGGGCTAGTTAACCTTAGGTTCCAGCCAGGCTGCTCAGAGTTTGAATTAGGAATCAGTTTCCAGAGAGGATCAGCCACCTCACAGGGTCCAGGCTGGTTCTCCCCCAGCTCATGGGCCTGAGCCTCACCATTATTCACAGATAGTTGGTCTAGGAACCCTCAGATCAGGGACCCAGCACCATGTCCTTTATGTGTTCTACACACATTTCCAGGCCTGCTGTTCTAACAACTGTCTTCACTCTTTGAACCCTAGCAAAAATATCTGGATGTTTGCAGCATTAAAAAGTAATTGAGGCCGGGCAGGGTGGCTCATGCCTGTAATCCTAACACTTTGGGAGGCCAAGACAGGAGGATCGTTTGAGCCCAGGAGTTCAAGATCAGCCTGGGCAACATAGTGAAACCCCGTCTCTACTAAAAATTAGCCAGGCGTGGTGGCACACACCTGTGATCCCAGCTACTTGGGAGGCTGAGGCACAAGAATCACATGAACCCGGGAGCCAGAGGTTGCAGTGAGCTGAGATTGCACTACTGTACTCCAGCCTGGGTGACAGAGTGAGACTTTGTCTCAAGAAAAAGAGTCATTAGGGACTACAAGATTTATAAAAACAAAGTTCTCCTCCCTTTTCTTTTCACTTTTTTAGTCTAATGCCCCTGGGGCAACCATTTTTATCTATTGGCTTCTTATGATAGATGACATCATCTGATCCCCTTACAGAGCACCTCCCCCTCAGTCAGACAGACGTGTACCCACATATCCTCCCCATTCTCCCAGAAGAGTCAAATCACAATTTGGGGTTAAGGTATTTATTATTATTATGAGTTTACAAATATTCACAGCCGAAACACACAGTATTATGTTATTTTTTGTATAGTTTTTTTCCCCCTTCTTTTTTAGTCATTGTGTTTTTTATATACCTACTACTGATTTTCCTCCCAAACTCTTTACCAGAAGTATATATCTTCTCTCAGTACCTTTAGATACATGAGGTTTAATTTTTTTATCTTGGGATCCTTCTAGAATCTTCTTTCTTCAGTTGCATTGTGGATTGGTTGCTCTCTATCCTCTGGCAGAGTTATCATTCTAAGACCAGTACCCTGGGAATTCCGTTAGCCTCTCTGCTGTGTTGGATCTCATTTATTTTCCTCTGTTTGCCTCTCATTTTTGTTTAGAATTTTCTAGTGACTTTCCGAAAAAGGTTATATGGGAGGTAAATTTTGAATTCTAGCCTGAACAAGTCATCCAACCTTTCTGGGGCTGATGACACCCACCTCAGAGCATAATAGGAAGGAGTAAATGCCATATGAAGCACTTAGCTCACTGTCAGGTCCATAATGTAGGTATTCTGTGAGCAGTCATGATTTCTAATTCCCAACTGTAATATCCTTGGGAGACATCATTCGTGTTCTGTTTATATTTTTGACAGCCTTCCACCCAGCCCCATCCTTGTGCAGTGCCTGGCACATACATGGTAGAAACATGGAAAATACTCAATTAGTAACGGGGTGGATGGATACATGGGTTAGATATTTAGCTGGGGACATTTGGGCACAAGCTTCCAAAAGTCAGGAATGGATGTTCCCAGCCTCCCAGCATCTTTCTTCTTGGTGTATATTCTCTTCATTTTTGCTGTTGGCTACTTTAGGACCAAAAGAAGAAACGGTGAATGATTTCTGGCGGATGATCTGGGAACAAAACACAGCCACCATCGTCATGGTTACCAACCTGAAGGAGAGAAAGGAGGTAAGTGGAAAAATTGGATGTGAACAGCAGAAGGATCACTCTGCATATAAGCTCTGAGTTTAAGCCTGGCTGTCTATCCTTTGTGGGTGCTGTACCAGTAGTTCATCCAGAAAGACACAGGCTGAAGTCTATCAGACTTTGCTATGGCCTGGAAGCCCCAGATATGAACCTCAGGTGTGTGCCTAGAGCACATTCCCTGTATTTGGTAGTCAAACAACTCACCCTGGTTCCAGAACAGCCTGAAAGAGACTGACTTGGGCCATCAGCTAAGGAAAAGCCACAGAGGGGTTTTTTTTGTTGTTGTTTTGTTTTGTTTTGTTTTGTTTTTTTATTGATCATTCTTGGGTGTTTCTCATAGAGGGGGATTTGGCAGGGTCACAGGACAATAGTGGAGGGAAGGTCAGCAGATAAACAAGTGAACAAAGGTCTCTGGTTTTCCTAGGCAGAGGACCCTGCGGCCTTCTGCAGTGTTTGTGTCCCTGGGTACTTGAGATTAGGGAGTGGTGATGACTCTTAACGAGCCTGCTGCCTTCAAGCATCTGTTTAACAAAGCACATCTTGCACCGCCCTTAATCCATTCAACCCTGAGTGGATACAGCACATGTTTCAGAGAGCACAGGGTTGGGGGTAAGGTCACAGATCTACAGGATCCCAAGGCAGAAGATTTTTTCTTAGTATAGAACAAAATGAAAAGTCTCCCATGTCTACTTCTTTCCACACAGACACGGCAACCATCCGATTTCTCAATCTTTTCCCCACCTTTCCCCCCTTTCTATTCCACAAAACCGCCATTGTCATCATGGCCCGTTCTCAATGAGCTGCTGGGCACACCTCCCAGACGGGGTGGTGGCCGGGCAGAGGGGCTCCTCACTTCCCAGTAGGGGCGGCCGGGCAGAGGCGCCCCTCACCTCCCGGACAGGGCGGCTGGCCGGGCGGGGGGCTGATCCCCCCACCTCCCTCCCGGACGGGGTGGCTGGCCGGGCAGAGGGGCTCCTCACTTCCCAGTAGGGGCGGCCGGGCAGAGGCGCCCCTCACCTCCCGGACGGGGCGGCTGGCCGGGCAGGGGGCTGATCCCCCAACCTCCCTCCCGGACAGGGCAGCTGGCCGGGCGGGGGGGCTGACCCCCCCACCTCCCGGACGGGGCGGCTGGCCGGGCAGAGGGGCTCCTCACTTCCCAGTAGGGGCGGCCGGGCAGAGGCGCCCCTCACCTCCTGGACGGGGCGGCTGGCCGGGCGGGGGGCTGATCCCCCAACCTCCCTCCCGGACGGGGCGGCCGGCCGGGCGTGGGGCTGACCCCCCCACCTCCCTCCCGGACGGGGCGGCTGGCCGGGCGGGGGGCTGACCCCCCCACCTCCCTCCCGGACGAGGTGGCTGCCGGGCAGAGACGCTCCTCACTTCCCAGACGGGGTGGCTGCTGGGCGGAGGGGCTCCTCACTTCTCAGACCGGGCGGCTGCTGGGCGGAGGGGCTCCTCACTTCTCAGACGGGGCGGTTGCCAGGCAGAGGGTCTCCTCACTTCTCAGACGGGGCGGCCAGGCAGAGATGCTCCTCACATCCCGGACGGGGCGGCAGGGCAGAGGTGCTCCCCACATCTCAGACGATGGGCGGCCGGGCAGAGACGCTCCTCACTTCCTAGATGGGATGGCGGCCGGGCAGAGACTCTCCTCACTTTCCAGACTGGGCAGCCAGGCAGAGGGGCTCCTCACATCCCAGACGATGGGCGGCCGGGCAGAGACGCTCCTCACTTCCCAGACGGGGTGGCGGCTGGGCAGAGGCTGCAATCTCGGCGCTTTGGGAGGCCAAAGCAGGCTGCTGGGAGGTGGAGGTTGTAGCGAGCCAAGATCACGCCACTGCACTCCAGCCTGGGCACCATTGAGCACTGAGTGAACGAGACTCCGTCTGCAATCCCGGCACCTCGGGAGGCCGAGGCTGGCAGATCACTTGCGGTTAGGAGCTGGAGACCAGCCCGGCCAACACAGCGAAACCCCGTCTCCACCAAAAAAATACGAAAACCAGTCAGGCGTGGCGGCGCGCGCCTGCAATCGCAGGCACTCGGCAGGCTGAGGCAGGAGAATCAGGCAGGGAGGTTGCAGTGAGCCGAGATGGCAGCAGTACCGTCCAGCTTCGGCTCGGCATCGGAGGGAGACCGTGGAAAGAGAGGGAGAGGGAGACCGTGGGGAGAGGGAGAGGGAGAGCTGTTTTGTTTTGTTTTTTGAGACGGAGTCTCGCTCTGTCGCCCAGGCTGAAGGGCAGTGGTGCCATCTCGGCTCACTGCAAGCTCCGCCTCCCGGGTTCACACCATTCTTCTGCCTCAGCCTCCCGAGTACCACCCGCCACCACGCCCAGCTAATTTTTTGTGTTTTTTTTAGTAGAGACGGGGTTTCACTGTGTTAGGCAGGATGGTCTCGATCTCCTGACCTCGTGATCCACCCACCTCGGCCTCCCAAAGTGCTGGGATTATAGGCGTGAGCCACCACGCCCGGCCCACAGAGGAGCTTTTTTCCCCTGGTTTCTCTAGTTCCTTATTTCCCTGGTTTTCTGCCCCACCTGCTGAGGCCTTTGGTATATCCTGGATCAGCAGAGGGAGCTTTATGAACTGAGACCCTGCAAGCCAAAGGGAATTTGAGGCCTTGGCCTAATCCTGGAGGCAGCCTCCTAACTGGGCCTTTTCCTTTTGTGGCTACCAAGTGCATGCCTGGCCTAACCAGCTCTATCACTGGGCCACAGCCAGAGCCAATTCTGGGTCCTGGGGTCGAGCCCCAGCGAGGAATACCTATTTGTTACCGTGTTTCTCAAGGATGGCCCTTGAGTCACCTTGATCCTAGGGTATCGGGTGTCATGATCAACAGCTCCACAGTGGCATGGGAAGACAGTGCTAGGGCTGGGCTTTAGGTTAGTTTCCTCCAACCAAACCTCTTGCTCTTGGAAGCTATCCAAAGCTCAGGCAACAGAAAAAGCTCTAGGCCTCTCATGGCAGGTTTACAGTCTGCATCAGTCTACCCTGGTGGCCCCCTCATAGCAGACTGCTGGTTCGAGGGGTTCAAACAGGCTTTCTCCTAGAGCATGACCTGAAATGTTGTGAAAGTGCAGATTTTGTAGGTAAGATGGCTTCAGATTCGCCCTGAACCAAGGGAGTGTGGGTGGGAAACATTGAGAAGTATGGGGCTAGGGCTGTGTGTAAGTTAGGAGACTGTGCTCAATAGGATGGCGGCTAAGGAACTTGAGAAAAGGGCAAATTTGAATAAGTAAGTGTGCAACTGACTGAGATAGAGAAGAGGTCAAAGGGCCTTCTGGGGGACTTTAATCTGGGCTTTGTGGGCTCTTCCTTCCAGGCCCTTTGCATCTGCCATGGGCAGGAGGTCTAAGGTCAGGGAATGTATGTCTTTTTCTTTCCAGTGCAAGTGCGCCCAGTACTGGCCAGACCAAGGCTGCTGGACCTATGGGAATATTCGGGTGTCTGTAGAGGATGTGACTGTCCTGGTGGACTACACAGTACGGAAGTTCTGCATCCAGCAGGTAGTGTCTCCTCTGTCCTTTCTCAGTTCTTATGTTGGATCTGCTGACCAGTAAGAGGGAACAGGCTGGATCATCCCGCTGTGGTCAGGAGTTGCTGAGTATGCAGTATGTGAATTCTGAAACCAGATATCCGGGCTCAGGGGAACTTGTCTGTCAAAGCTAAAGGAGCAGTATTTTCATGACTGGTGAAAAATTACCTGTTGAGATGAAGTCTGATCATTTAGATATGACCAAGCACTGTGGAAAGGGAGCATGGGGAGGCAGTGCAGTCTCCTAGGTGCTTGACTCACCTTTCTCCTCCTTTCCTACTCCAAAGACTCCTGACATCAAGGATGTGATGGGCCTGCCCCTGGCCCTCCAGGCAACCCTGGAGACCTGAGCAAAGGTCACCTTCAGCCAAGGGGCAGTGTGGTACTGCGAAAAGAGGACTTAGCTGGGAGCACTGCATTTTAGTTCTGACCCTGCCACTGACTAGTTGTGAGACCTTGTGTCTGTGGTTAACTAACTCCCCTGGGTACACTTACTTTTCCATTGTCACTGACAACCACAGCTGTCACCTTCCCTCCCCTGGTACTGCCCACCCTTGGGTATCAGGGCCAACACACAGGATCTCCTCACTTCACAGGTGGGCGACATGACCAACAGAAAGCCACAGCGCCTCATCACTCAGTTCCACTTTACCAGCTGGCCAGACTTTGGGGTGCCTTTTACCCCGATCGGCATGCTCAAGTTCCTCAAGAAGGTGAAGGCCTGTAACCCTCAGTATGCAGGGGCCATCGTGGTCCACTGCAGGTCAGTGTGGCCTGACCCTTGTACCCCCACCCCCACATTTCGCCCCCATGGCCAGAGCAGGGGAACAGCACAAGGGCCCTGGCTGAGGAGGCTGGCACAGAGTAGATGACCTACTGGGGCACCAGCGCAACAGCCAGAGACTCCAAGTTCTAGTGCAGGGTGGAGAATATGACTTGAGGAAGGAGGGTAGGGCAGTCCTCCAAGATTAGGAGTTGGGAGACCCTGCTATGAAGCCAAAAGACTGGGTCAAGTGCTGGCCATGTATTTTTGCAGCCTTCGGACCCTTCTAGCTGGAGGTCAGGATTCAGGACATACTGGAGTTGTTGGCTCCTGGAGAGCCCCAGCTCTACCCCATTCAGAATTAGGATTTAGACCCTGAAGGAAGAGCCCCTGCCTGTGTTGCCCCTCCCTATCTGCTCCCACAAGGCAGGCTGGCCATCCCTATAACCCCCTGCTCTCTGGCTACAGTGCAGGTGTAGGGCGTACAGGTACCTTTGTCGTCATTGATGCCATGCTGGACATGATGCATACAGAACGGAAGGTGGACGTGTATGGCTTTGTGAGCCGGATCCGGGCACAGCGCTGCCAGATGGTGCAAACCGATGTGAGTGATCTGTGGGTCAGGTGAGGGTGGGGGGTTCCAGGACTAAAACATCTGCCCACATTGAGGATTCACTCAGTCTCACAGGTTATTGTAAATGATTACTATAGAGTGTGATTGTGGGGGAAAGAAAGATAGATCACACTGTTACCGTGTCTATGTAGAAAAAGGAAGACACGAGAAACTCCATTTTGTTCTGTACTAAGAAAAATTCTTCTGCCTTGAGATGCTGTTAATCTGTAACCCTAGCCCCAACCCTGTGCTCGCAGAAACATGTGCTGTATTGACTCAAGGTTTAATGGATTTAGGGCTGTGCAGGATGTGCTTTGTTAAAAATGTGTTTGCAGGCAGTATGCTTGGTAAAAGTCATCGCCGTTCTCCAGTCTCAAGCACCCAGGGACACAATGCACTGCGGAAGGCCGCAGGGACCTCTGCCCAAGAAAGCCTGGGTGTTGTCCAAAGTTTCTCCCCACTGAGATAGCCTGAGATATGCCCTCGTGGGAAGGGAAGGGTCTGTGCTGAGGAGGATTAGTGAAAGAGGAAGGCTTCTTTGGAGTTAAGATAAGAGGAAGGCATCTGTCTCCTGCTCGTCCCTGGGAATGGAATGTCTTGGTGTAAAACCCGATCGTACATTCTATTTACTGAGATAGGAGAAAACCGCCTTATGGCTGGAGGTGAGATATGCTGGCGGCAATACTGCTCTTTACTGCACTGAGATGTTTGTGTAAAGTCAGACATAAATCTGGCCTACGTGCACATCAAGGCACAGCACCTTTCCTTAAACTTATTTATGACACAGAGTCCTTTGCTCACATGTTTTTCTGCTGACCCTCTGCCCACCATTACCCTATAGTCCTGCCACATCCCCTTAGCCGAGATAGTAGAGATAGTGATCAATAAATACTGAGGGAACTCAGAGACGAGTGCTGGCGCATGTCCTCCGTATGCTGAGCACCGGTCCCCTGGCCCACTGTTCTTTCTCTATACTTTGTCTCTGTGTCTTCTTTCTTTCCTCAGTCTCTCGTCCCACCTGACGAGAAACATCCACAGGTGTGGAGGGGCTAGCCCCTTTCATGTGATGAAGGGCTCTTATAAATTATGTATTCAAAGAAATCGAGCACAGAGGAGGTTGTGGTTTCATGCCTGGGAGAGTCAGGAAGGCAGATGACAGGTTACTGGACTTCAAAGATTAGGGAACAGGCAGCTGAAAGAGCCAGTGCCCAGAGACATGATGAAGCTCGGCCACATCTGGGAGCAGCAGTGAGATTGGCTCTGCAGTTGGGGCATAGCACCAGGAGGGAGGCAGGGACCAGACTATCACGGGCTTTGGGTGTCTCCAGTTTCTGACAGCCCCTTCAGACTATTAAATCTGCACTCTCAGAATGAACAGGAATTGAGTTTGTCCTTCTCTCCAGGCGTCCACCACCCCCAAGATAGACCTGGACCCTTCTTCCCAAGTAAAGCACCCCCACAGGGACTCCTGCATTTCAAGTCCCACTTCACTAAATTGGGATAATAAGAGGGAGTCCTTTTATTCCTGCTAGGATCAAAGGAGAAATGGACTGGAGTGAAGTGGGGGTGGGAACAGGTGATCTGGCATGAGAACTATGTTGTATGTAACCAAGAACTTCTGTGTCATTCATGTTTCAGATGCAGTATGTCTTCATATACCAAGCCCTTCTGGAGCATTATCTCTATGGAGATACAGAACTGGAAGTGACCTCTCTAGAAACCCACCTGCAGAAAATTTACAACAAAATCCCAGGGACCAGCAACAATGGATTAGAGGAGGAGTTTAAGGTGAGTTGGAGCTGGATAACCTCCTTCAGATTGAAGGATCCTTGTAATCTGGGGAACATGGGATGCCTGACTGTGCATTTGCCAACAGTAAATCCCCTTGTGAGGCATGCCAGTGGTTAAGGAGATGGTCCTTTCCTCGTACTCTGGTAACTCTCAACTCATCCTGCACGTTGGAATCACTTTGGTTGTGTTAGAGTAGGGAGAAGCAGGCAACAGTATTTTAAGGCCCCTAGCCCTCCGAGGTGATTATGATACACAGCAAGAGCAGTTTTTTCTGTAAGAGCCAGATAATAAATATTTTAGGCTTTGCAGCCCACATGGTTTCTATCCAGCTACTTAGTGCTGTCTTTGTAACACAAAGGCAGCCATAACCAATAGGTAAATATAATGAGTGTGGCTGTTTTATAAAACTTTATTTGCAGGCAGCAGGCAGCAGGCCAGATTTGGCCTCTGGACCTTAGATCACTGATAGCTCCTATATGCCACTAGACAATGGTTCTCAACACACCTAAGGCATATGTCACACTGTCATCAGTAAAAGTGCTCTCCCAGGCTGGGCACAGTGGCTCACGCCTGTAATCACAGCACTTTGGGAGGCTGAGACAGGTGGATCATGAGGTCAGGAGTTCCAGACCAGCCTGGCCAATATGGTGAAACCCCGTCTCTACTAAAAATACAAAAAGTAGCCAGGCATGATGGCACATGCCTGTAGTCCCAGCTACTCAGGAGGCTGAGGCGAGAGAATTGCTTGAACCCGGAAGGCAGAGGTTGCAGTGAGCCGAAATCATGCCACTGCACTCCAGCCTGGGCGACAGAGCGAGACTCCATCTCAAAAAAAAAAAAAAAAAAAGTGCTTTCTCAGAAGCAGGAGATTCTGGGTTGGGGTGGGGAGGACCACTTAGAGAAGTTCTTCTCAAATATAGCATGTGCACAGATTTCTTTGGGATCCTGTCAAGATGTGGGTTCTGCCAGGCACGGTGGCTAATGCCTGTAATCCCAGCACTTTGGGAGGCCAAGTCAGGCAGATCACCTGAGCTCAGGAGTTCAAGACCAGCCTGACCAACACGGAGAAACTCTGTCTCTATTAAAAATACAAAATTAGCCAGGCATGGTGGCACATGCCTGTAATCCCAGCTACTTGGGAGGCTGAGGCAGGAGAATCACTTGAACCCAGGAGGCAGAGATTGCAGTGAGCTGAGATTGTGCCACTGCACTCCAGCCTGGGTGACAGAGCAAGACTCTGTCTCAAAAAAAAAAAAAAAAAAGATATTAGGTTCTGATTCAGCAGGTATGAGTTAGAGCTTGAGATTCTGCATTTCTTTTTTTCTTTTCTTTTTTTTTGAGATGGAGTTTCACTCTTGTCACCCGGGCTGGGGTGCAATGGCGCGATCTCAGCTCACTGCAACCTCTGCCTCCCGGGTTCAAGGGATTCTTCTGTCTCAGCCTCCTAAGTAGCTGGGTCTACAGGCACGTGCCACTACCCCCGGCTAATTTTTAGTAGAGACAGGGTTTCACCATGTTGGCCATGCGGGTCTCAAACTCCTAACCTCAGTTGATTGCCCACCTTGGCCTCCCAAAGTGCTGGGATTACAGGCATGAGCCACCACGCCCGGCTTGAGATTCTGCATTTCTAATAAGGTGAAGCCAACGCTGCTGGTGTATGGGCTACACTTTGAGTAGCAAATGTCAAGAAGGAGCCTCAATCGGGAAGGGAGGATGCAATTCTGAATAAGTTTTTTTGAAGAGCCTTAGGCAGCCTCTGGGGGTGGAACTGCAGAGTGGACACACTCCCTCCTACGATGCTGGAATCCCTTGCTCCAGGATCACAAAATTCCAAGCCAGGAGAATCTCAAGAGAGTCCACAGGAGCCTGGAAGGTAGCATTTCCCAAACAGTCTCTTGGCTTCAGGGTTCCAGCTGAACATATGGGAACAGAGGTCAGGGCCCTGGTGAGAAGAGCAGTATGGAGCCAGAGTGGCCTGGAGGTGCAGGCCAAGGGACAGGCATAATCTTGTCAAGTTCAGTTACTGGGATCAGTAATGTTTCCCCTCCCCTTCCCAATTCAGAAGTTAACATCAATCAAAATCCAGAATGACAAGATGCGGACTGGAAACCTTCCAGCCAACATGAAGAAGAACCGTGTTTTACAGATCATTCCATGTAAGAGCCCTCCCGCCACTCCAAAGCCTTATTGCCCCATCCCTCAATTCCCTCCACCCCTTCCATTTCTCAGGTACTAGTTAATGATTGGCGTATAGACAAGAATCATGGCATTGCCTCTTGTTGCACCCACTTAACAACATGGCGTTGCCTTTTGTTGCACCTTAGTGGCTTCTGGAAATAACGTAAAAGCCAAAGGCTTTCTCCCTAATGAGCTAGGAACAGACATGTCCTTGCCCAGCTGGGATTCTGTCTGCCCAGGGCCTGAGGTGGGAGCAATGCAAGGAGAGGGAGAGGACAAATGATATTGGCTAGCCATAAGCCGCTATTCTTCTTACAGATGAATTCAACAGAGTGATCATTCCAGTTAAGCGGGGCGAAGAGAATACAGACTATGTGAACGCATCCTTTATTGATGTAAGTGGTGGGTGTGACCCCTGAGCCCCCAACACCCCGTGGAGATTCAGCCAGCACTTGCAGTGCCTCCCTCCCATACCTGCTGGGGAGGATCATGTTTGAATCAGTCAACAAATAGTGAATTGATACTCACCCACCCACTCACCCTGTGCATTAGGTCTGTCCAGCTCCATAGAGCAGAAGGTGGGGGAAAACAGATGGCATGCAGTAGTATAATACCTGGAAGAAAAAGTTCACAGAGCAGACCACAGCCAAGAGGAACCTGGCTGCCCCCTGATCTTTCCCATTCCTGCCCTCTTCATCCTAGCTCTAATCCCTGTTCCACTTCCCTGTCTCTTACAGAAAGCAACCAGCTTGTCAGATAGGGTTTCGTCCTTGGCCACAGGGGAGCTCTGCATGGGCTGAGTTTGCCTCCGAGCAGTCCCCATTCCCTTCTAGTGGTCTGTCTTCTCCACTAGTCCCTCTGTGATTAAACCATCTCACCCTTGCAATTAACCTGGCCTGTGCAGGGCTACCGGCAGAAGGACTCCTATATCGCCAGCCAGGGCCCTCTTCTCCACACAATTGAGGACTTCTGGCGAATGATCTGGGAGTGGAAATCCTGCTCTATCGTGATGCTAACAGAACTGGAGGAGAGAGGCCAGGTGAGTTCAAAAGGTCCTGGGTGGTGAGAGACAGAGACAGCATGAAAAGATGTGTGTGTAAATGGGGACGTTGGGAAGGCAAGAAGGTGTTTGGACCTTGTCTTTGACTTATACGGTCCAAAGAGTACGTTTGCATAGTATAAGTACATACTTAAAGGTATATAAATACATATGCATTTCCAGGATTGCCCAGCCCGTTGGTGTCTAAGCAGTCATTAGCTTCTCCCAAGACTAGAAAAGCAATGTGATCTGAGCCTCCATGTTATTCCCAGACAGCTCACACCCTTGCACTTTCTCCTGAATACAGTCCCCCTAGCCTAGCCTTTGCACAGTGCCCCAGGCGGGGGGGGCACCCTCTCCTTCCCAGTGCCCCAGGCAGGGCAGATAGGTCAAGGTTCTGAGGTGGACCCAATATGAGTGTCCCTAAGAAGGGATTGCCTCATTGCTGACTACATAAAATAAAGCAGTAGAATTTGAGAAATTATACAAACAAGAAACTTACAGTCTAATATTCAGTAATAAGGAAATCTTTTAAAGAAAAAAGCCCTCAGGTCTATTAAAAAGCAGAGCTGTCCGGAAACTCATACTAAAAAGGGACACTAGCAGTCCCCTAGGTCAACTTCCTCTCAGTATAGGAAACCTCCTAATATTGTTCCTGAGTCAGAATCATACAGCCTCTACTAAGCACATTCAATCTCAGGGATATCTCCCTCACCCCCCACATTATGGGGGGACCCAGTCTGTGTTCTGACAATGCTTATTCTTTTAAAAATTATTTCTGTTGAGGTTGCACATTGCAGCAAATGAGCGGTTCACTATGTCTGGGGTGTCACTTAGCAGGGATGAGAATCTAGAGAATGGGCCTGGAGAGAAGCTAGCAAGGCCTGGTGAGAAAATTCCTTCTAAGCCACAGTGAAGAGTTTGGTCTTCCTAAAGCAATTGAAGAGCCCTTGACAACATCCCATTTGTGTTTTTTAAAAAATCCCTCTGGCAGCAGTGAGAAGGACTCATTAGAAATGCGAAAGCTGTGGCAGTAATGCTGGTGGCCTGGACTCGGGTGGTGAGAGGGTGCTGTCCCAGAAAGGGTGAAGTGAGGAGGAATTAAGGATGGCACCCACTCATGACTCATTGAATTTATAGTCAAACATTTAAAATACAAAGTATGTTTTACATTAGTTGTCTCAAGTCACTAGTTGTTCCCCATCTGTACTTGTGTTAACTTTGGTACAAGGCTTTACACATATTTTCTCACCCTGATGTTTCATTACATCAGGATTTTTTTTTTTTTTTTGGTTTTGTTTGTTTGTTTGTTTGTTTGAGAGAGGGTCTCACTTTGTCACCCAGGCTGGAGTGCAGTGGCACGATCTTGGCTCACTGCAGCCTCAACCTCCCAGGTTCAAGTGATCCTCCCACATAGCCCTCCAAGTAGCTAGGACTAAAGGCACGTGCCACCATGCCCAGCTAGTTTTTGTATTTTTTTGTAGAGACAGGGTTTCACCATGTTGCCCAGGCTGGTCTTGAACTCCTGGGCTCAATTGATCCACCCACCTGGTTGACCCAAAGTGCTAGGATTACAGGTTTGAACCACCTTGCCCGGCATTTTTTTCAATTTTGATCAGTCATTTAACTCATTAGCTATTCTTCCTAGACTTGTATCATGTACCTAATCAACAGACATACTTTGTAGGTCTTCATCATCTTTTTTTTTTTTTTTTTTGAGACGGAGTCTCTGTCACCCAGGCTGGAGTGCAGTGGCACAATATGGGCTCATTGCAACCTCTGCCTCCCAGGTTCTGGCAATTCTCCTGCCACAGCCTCCCTAGTAACTGGGATTAAAGACACCCACCATCATGCCTGGCTAATTTTTGTAGGCACGGGGTTTCACCATGTTGGCCAGGCTTGTCTCAAACTCCTGACCTCAGGTTATCTGCCTGACTCAGCCTCCCAAAGTGCTGGGATTACAGGCGTGAGCCACTGCGCCCAGTGTCTTCATCATCATTAATAACAATACTGATGAGGTGGGAGGTTCGGTTAAGGTGCTTGGCTTTGCACTCAAGGAAGCACACACCTGAGTAACAAAAGCTGTTTAGGAAATGAGCCACTGTGTTCTCAGGAGCTAGGTGCCTGTTCCTGCCGTCTCTGATCAGTCGTGATGGAACCTGCAGATCAGACCAGGGCCCTACCTGTGGTTCCTTCTGCACCCCTGCCCTTCAGATCTGTGATGGGCAGGACCAAAGAGCAGGCCGAAGAGCTGGAACCACGAGCACAAGGACCATCTCGGCCCACTGCCCTGTGATAAAATGTGGCCCAGTGAACATCTCCGCCTCTGTCCAGTCAGATGCAGGCTCTTCCATCCTTGAAAAGGACCTAGTGAGAGTAAAGGGCAGGGGGCAGGAAGCATTTCATGTGTGTGGCGGTGGGGAGAAGAGTCGTGCGCACACAAATTCTGCTGCCTGTTGAGTGAGGCCTCTCCCTCTGCCTTCCACTGTAGCTTATGCTCTGTCTTCCTAGGCCAGTGAAGCAGACAGTAGTGCTTGCCCTCAAAAGCTTCTGAGTGGATTGGAACAGGATGTTAGTGATGTTCTTTACAAGGCCTCACTGGCCCCCAAGTTCACTTTCTGTTCCATTCATGTTGTCAAGTGTAGCTCCCAGAAGTAATTAACGCACTAAGCCTAAATGATGCAATGAAAGGTGCCTACACTTATACAGTGACACTACCATCCTCACCTACAATATTAAGTTCCCAGAGAAAAAAATTCGATCCCATAATATAAATTCTGTACTTACAAATTAAAATCTCGAAGGAATTAAAAATTTTTAATTATCTCCCTCTGCTTTTTTTTTTTTTTTTTTTTTTTTTTTGAGATGGAGTCTCACTCTGTCCACCAGACTGGAGTGCAGTGGCACAATCTCAGCTCGCTGCAACCTCCACCTCCAGGGTTCAAGTGATTCTCCCACCTCAGCCTCCCGAGTAGCTGGGATTACAGGCATGCACTACCATGCCCAGCTAATTTCCATAGTAGAGACAGGGTTTCGTCATGTTGGCCATGCTGGTCTCAAACTCCTGACCCCAAGTGATCCGCCCGCCTTAGCCTCCCAGAGTGCTAAGATTACAGGCATGAGCCATTGCGCCTGGCCTCCTTCTGCTCTATTTTAATCAAAAGGGTCCACCAGGATGCCTGGGTTCCCTCAGCAGCTGCAGCTTGGACCATCATCAGCCTGGGCAGACAGAGCAGTGCCAGGAACTCCCATGCTGGGTCAACCCTAGGCCTAGCCCAACCCTAGGCCTCATCCTGCTTCTCTAAAGCATAGTGAAACCTGATAGCATTAGTCTTCACAAAGCTGTGTGTCCCCATCACCATGTCCGCCTTAGACCTCATAAGAGACATAAGACATAAGAGACTTCATGCTATCTGGTGGAAAGACAAAGTAGGAGAAAAGACAGAAAACCTTCCCTGTTTCACTTCTTTAAGATGCTATTATCTAGAGGCCGTAACGTGAACACACAAATCTGAGATGAAACTCCAGTCCCCAGCTTTTCTTCTACTGGTCTTGAATCCCCATTCCCCATCTTCTGTCCCTCACCCACTGATGACTTTAACACCTGGCTTACTGCTCCTTTTGAGCCCCTGTTCCTGACTCTGCTTTTGGAGGCATCAGTCACCATGTGGATGATCCATCTATCCTCAATCTTTCTATTCCTCAGCTTCCTCAGCCACCTGATCCCATGGTCAAGTCACCATCTGCCCTGTATCTGCACTGCCCTTGGAATCTCAACAAGGCATCCGCCCTGTTTACTGCCTCCTTCCTCCCACCTCAGTATTCTCTTTTATTCCAGTCATTTTTGTCTTCATCAAGTCCTTAGAGTTATTGATGCCTCCACTTTCTCAACATCAGTCACACCGAACATGTCCTCACCTTCCTCCTTACTCTGTGTGTTTTTGAGTTCTGTTTTTGAGCGTTTGAGTTTTCTGATTTGAGTTTTTGTGGTATGTCATTATTACCTTTCCTTATTCCCTCATGCTTTCTTACTTTCATAGCAAACTCTCTAGTAAAACCCAGTTATATGCCTCTATCTGATATAGCAAACATCACTGGGCAAAAACACAAAACAGTGCCAAATGCTCTCACACTGAACTCATGACCACAAATCTCATAGAGGTAATTGGTGCCACCTAGCAATGCTATTGCTCTTTCTTTTCTTCCTGAAACCTCCAGCATCTGCTCTTGCCTGTCCCATCATACTCACACCTTAGCTTGTGACCTGGCCTCATTCTTCTCCAAGAAATCAGACAAGAACACTGTCATCCTCCCACCCCCAAACAACCAGCCTCTTCAAATCTGTACCAACTCTATTCTCTCTTGTTACAGTGGAAAAGGGTTTCTGCATCTCTCAATCCACCTGTCCACTGTGCTCTTGGCCCCATTCCGTCCTGCCTGCTCAGGGATGTTGCTGCTATAACCATCTTCTCTCCCACCTCCATCAGCAGTTCCCCTCTTTAACCACTACTCTCATCAGCCTATACATGTTACATTTCCTATCTTTTAAAAACAAAAAATCTGCTAATCTCACTTTCCCTTCCACCTACTATCCTATTTCTCTGCACCCCTTCCCAGCAAAACTCCTTTAAAGAGTTGGCTTTCGGCCGGGCGCGGTGGCTCACGCCTGTAATCCCAGCACTTTGGGAGGCCAAGGTGGGCGGATCACAAAGTCAGGAGATCGAGACCAGCCTGGCCAACATGGCAAAACCCCATCTCTACTAAAAATACAAAAATTAGCTGGGCGCGATGGTGCATGCCTGTGATCCCAGCTACTCGGGAGGCTGAGGCAGGAGAATCGTTTGAACCAGGGAGCTGAAGGTTGCAATGAGCCAAGATCGCGCCACTGCATTCCAGCCTGGTGGCAGAGTGAGACTCCATCTCAAAAAAAAAAAAAAAAGAGTTGGCTTTCTCCCTGCAAGTTCTCTGTTCGCTCTGTTCCTTCCAGGCTTGGCCCCACTGGGACTGCTTTAGTCAAGATCACCAGTGACTGTCCTCTTGCCAAATCCAAAGGTCATTTCTCTTTTCTGATTTTTTTTTTTTTGTCCTTACAGCAGCATTTGAAAGAGTCAGTACCTCCCTCCTCTTCCTCAGAACACTTACTTCCGTAGCATCACCCCACTCACTAACCTGGCAGCTCCTTTGTTATTTCTTTGTGACCTCCTCCTCTAAAACATTGGAGTATACTAGACTCGGGCGCTAGCCCACTCTGTTTTCTTTTGACACACTAGCCCTTCAGGATCTCAGCCAGTCCTATGGCTTTAAGTACAACCCATATGCCAGGGATCCTCAATCTGCGTCTCTAGGCCAGTCACCTGTCCCCCTTCCCAATGTGGGCTCCTGATTTCCTCCTTCCCCCGACACCAGTCCACCCCACTCTTAGCCATCTAAATAAATAGTACCACCTTCTGCCCAGTTGCTCATGTCTAAAATCCGGGAGTTACCTTCCTTCCTCCCCTCTCCTCACCCCTCACATCCAGTCTGCCACTGAGTCCTGATACAGGCAGAGCCTCCCCACTTTTCTCCAGCGTAACTGCTGTCATCTGAACAAGCCCTCGTCTCTCACTGCTTGCCCGTGGGACTGTGGGCATGACTCATATGCGCAGCCTCGTCTGCAGTGGCCTGGCAACTGGTCCTCCTGCTCTCATCCTAACCCACTTTTAGTTTTTCAAATGGCAGCTGCTGGTCCTTTTGAAAATATAAATCATTGTCACTCCTTGTCTTACAAATCCTGTTTGAGGCCAGGTGCGGCAGCTCACGCCTGTAATCCCAGCACTTTGGGAGGCCGAGGCGGGTGGATCACCTGAGGTCGGGAGTTCGAGACCAGCCTGACCAACATGGAGAAACCCCGTCTCTACTAAAAATACAAAATTAGCGGGCATGGTGATGCATGCCTGTAATCTCAGCTACTGGGGAGGCTGAGGCAGGAGAATCACTTGAACCCGGGAGCCGGAGGTTGCAGTGAGCCAAGATCGCGCCATTGCACTCCAGCGTGGGCAATAAGAGTGAAGCTCCATCTCAAAAAAAAAAAAAAAAAAAATCCTCTTTGGTCTTCCAGAGATCTTGAGAGAAAATCCGCCCATGTATACAAAATTTAGAGACTTTTGATCAGATGTGGTGGCTCACGCCTGTGTAATCCTACCACTTTGGGAGGCTGAGGCAGGTGGATCACCTGAGGTCAAGAGTTTGAGACCAGCCTGGCCGACATGGTGAAACCCTGTCTCTACTAAAAATACAAAAATTAGCTAGGCATGGTGGCGCACACTTGTAGTCCCAGCTACTTGGGAGTCTGGGGTGGGAGAATCACTTGAAACTGGGAGGCGGAGGCTGCAGTAAGTCAAGATCATGCCACTGCACTCCAGCCTGGGCGACAGAGCAAGACTCTCTCAAAAAAGAAAAAAAAAATGAGACTCTTAGTGTTGATACCTAGTCCCTAGACTTGATATGTATTTCTGTCTGAGAGATCATGCTCAATTCCTCCAGCACACACACACTGTGGCTCACACCCATGGGGACCTTATGGTTCTGATGGTTTTAAAGGCCCAGTCTTCATCCCAGCTGAGACACTGTGTAAAGCAGTGTTGAGAAGGCACTGTGGTAGCAAAATCCATTCCACCCACCAGTGCCATAAAAACTAATATAATGCCTGATCGAGGTGAGCCTTAATGAGAATTTTTTTTTTTTTTTGGCTGTTCTGGTTGAAGAGAGGCCCAGGGCACCGATCCCTGAGGCATCCCCAGGGCTTCTAGAGAACATGGGTGGAAAAGCACTAGTCCAGGGCATGTTCTTGATTCAACACTTTAATAATCATGATTTTATTTGGACTGTGAGACTATTCACAATTTCTTTTTCTACTTAATTTTTTTCCAAATCTTTCAATGACATTATATGTATGGTTGAGAATTTTTCAATTGCCAGTAGTGAAGAATCTCAGATCTTACCCCCAAATTCTCTAAAGAAATGGGCAGCATAACTGTGTGATGTTATATTTATGTATTTATGCCTTGGCTTGTTCTGCAGACATTGAACAAATTCATTTACCAGATACTGAGAGCCTACCATGTGCCAGGCATTGTGCAAGGTGTGGGGAATACAGAGATGAAAAGAGACGCAGCCACTCCCACAAGGAGCTGTAGAGGGAAGTGAGCCAGGTGCAAGCAAAGACAGACAGTAGACCACCTCCTGCTCACTAGCAAGGACAGAAAGGCGAGTGCTAGCAACTTGAAGGTACCTTGCAGATCAAAGAGATAAAGGTAAAAGGGAGAAAGGATACTGTGGCCTGGGCGGTGGTGAAGCCCATGGCTGTGTGGGAATGTGAATTGGTTCTGATTTTCTGAATTAGCAGTCTGGCGGATGTAAGCAGCATTAAATATGAAAACACCCCATGGGAGAAAAAGAAAGGAATTGGAACAAAGATTTTCACTCGTCCTCCTCTCCCTGCAGCCACCAAGTATTGGATACCCTGTGAGCCTGTAGTCAGAGTCCTTTACAGACCCCGGCAGTGTTTTAGATGGTCTCTGGTGAGGATCGGAGGTTAATTGGAATGATGTGATATAATGATCCTGCAAGTTTTCAATACCTTGGGGACGAAGCGTATCAGCGTAAGAGGTGGCTGTACTGAGAGGGGTCAGGCTGCTCGTGGGCAGTGCTGCTTCTACACATGTGGTACTCTGAGCTCCTCACCTCTCCAACCTGTCTCTCCAGGAGAAGTGTGCCCAGTACTGGCCATCTGATGGACTGGTGTCCTATGGAGATATTACAGTGGAACTGAAGAAGGAGGAGGAATGTGAGAGCTACACCGTCCGAGACCTCCTGGTCACCAACACCAGGGTAAGATGGGTCGTGGGTGGACTCTGCCCACAGGAAAAGCAGGGTTACCCCTGCCTCCCTGATCCCCTTTTTTCCAAAGGAGAATAAGAGCCGGCAGATCCGGCAGTTCCACTTCCATGGCTGGCCTGAAGTGGGCATCCCCAGTGACGGAAAGGGCATGATCAGCATCATCGCCGCCGTGCAGAAGCAGCAGCAGCAGTCAGGGAACCACCCCATCACCGTGCACTGCAGGTATGGCTCACCCTTGCCCTCAGCGGGAGAGAGAAAGCGAGGAGGGGCAGATAGGGGAAGCTGATGACCATGGGTCAGACTGAAGAAAGCCATACAAGAGCAAGATATTGGTGAGCACATAGTAGTTGAGATTGATGCCAAGACAGGATTGGATGCTAAGAGAGAGGACCTTGGAGCTTGAACTTGGCACAATAAGTGCTAGGGGACTAATGTTCAGATAGTGGGCAGGAGAGCAGCAGGGGAGACTGGCAGTGGAGACCCCGGTTGTGCTATGAACAGAGGGTGAAAGAGAAGAGGAGTCAAGGGTGTCTCCCAGGTTTGAGCCTGGGTTGGTGTGACCAGCAGAAGAGAGACAGTAAAGAGGTTTGTTTGAGGGGAAAAGTTGAATTTTGTATGGGGCATGTTGCTGGAGGTTACGTTTTAGAAAAAATGCACTCCTTTACTTAGAATCCTAACAACAGCTTACAAGGCCCAATATGTTCTGAGGGGTCCCTGGCCAGGGCCGGGAGAGGATGGTGTGCACCATGGGCTGGCTCTGAGCACACTCCTGCCATGGGCCTGAGATGCCAGTTTCCCAGGCAGCCACAGGGCTTTGCCCAAGCCTTCCCTGAGTACCCTGCCAGAACTCCCACTCCTCTTTTCTCTTTCCTTACCACACATCTTCTTGTCTGGGGACATTGCTAAACCCCACAGTCCCTGCCTCAGAGTAGGCACTCAGTGTCTGGTGAGTGAATCAGCTGATGACATTGAATAGGGGGATATTGTCAAGGTCAGAGTCTGGATTCCGTGGATTTGGGAAGAAAGTGAAAGACATGGAAAGGAATCAGCAGATACACACCAGTGTAGGGAGTGGGGTTTGTCAGAAAAAGGGAAAGACAGGACTAGAGCTAGTTCTAACTGAGCGAACAGCAGGTCAGAACAACCTAGGCCAGCATGTGCAGGTGGACAGCAATGGCTCTGTGCTGGTGGGGTGTGAGTGAAGGTCGTCCCCCACGGTCCAACAGGTGAGTCCCTCCACAGCACATGGGGCCATGCAGGAAGGGCACAGGGTACACTGCCTCCCGACCCAGAACCCCTCCAGGCTGGTGGGTCCACAGGGCAAAGGCGAGCACCAGCTGCCTGCCCCCACCTCTTCTGCCACTCACCACTGTCACTCACCCCCTTGCACAGAGGGCCATCACAGGTGTGGTAAATGTGTCTGCTCTGTTGCAGCGCCGGGGCAGGAAGGACGGGGACCTTCTGTGCCCTGAGCACCGTCCTGGAGCGTGTGAAAGCAGAGGGGATTTTGGATGTCTTCCAGACTGTCAAGAGCCTGCGGCTACAGAGGCCACACATGGTCCAGACACTGGTATGCTGCCCACATATTTGTCCCTGCCACCACACCACCTGCAGCCCTTCTCTCAGGGAGGAGGCTCTTCAGAGGGGCCCACCCAGTAGTCAGAAGACTGTCTAAACACAGACCTGCCCTTGCCCTCCCAAGGTGCCCCAAATACACAGGAAACATTGGGAGGCAGGATGGCAGCAATGGGAGCATAGCCCCTGTTGCCAGAGGTTGGGCCAGGTTAGAAGGGGTGTCTGGGTGCCCCACAGGGCTCATCTGTACTTCTCTGTGGGTCTTGGGTAAGGAAGATCCATGAAGAGTACCTGCCTTTGGGCTTGGGCTCCCTGTTAAGAGGTCTGACTTTAATAAGCCGCACATCCACAGAGGTTTTCCTGAATCCCATGGAGCTAGAAATGTTTGGGGGGTAAAGAAAAGTGAATGTTAGGAGGTTTGGGAGACGAGGTTCTGAGAGCCAGGGTGCATGCTAGCCTGGCAGCCATGGTAAGCGTGGGCCATGCTCAGCTGCACTGTCTCCCAGCCCAGCACATGCCTGTCTGACCTCTGTGGGGCCTGGGTCAGCTCTGGTCAGCTCTGCTTGTAGAAGGTCTGCTGCATTCAGCCCGGAAGGGGAATGCTGTCAGAACTCTGGCAGGCAGATCAGAGCTCAGGTGAAAGTTCAAAAACATTCAGTTCCTCTTGATTTTCCATCTTCAACAAAAAAATGAGTCTGTTAGGAATTACAGGTACTGTGTGTTCTTCAGTAACCCTGACTTTTTCCCTACCTTTCACTCTCCAGGAACAGTATGAGTTCTGCTACAAGGTGGTGCAGGAGTATATTGATGCATTCTCAGATTATGCCAACTTCAAGTAAGCGGCAACAAGGGTCCGTGGACCAGGAGGATTGCCTTTAATATTTTGTAATATTCTGTTTTGTTAATATACCCCAAATTGTGTATATATCTTATAACTGTTTTAGAAATTGGTACATAGGCTTCTATTACCTATTAGGTGGAAATTTTATATGTAAATGTGTTAGCACTGATAGTCCTTTTTCCAATGTTTTATTGGGGAATTAAATAGTGTGATGTTTGGATTGATATCGTGAAATCCTCAGCCGAGAAATTGGGCTGGATTGTGCTTTGGTTAATACATCTTTCCCTAAAGAAGATAAACACAAAATCCATTCCAGGTAGCTCGGCACCAACTAAGAAAAAAAGCACAAAGTTCTCAGAGCTCTCGAGGAAAGTGGTTGTCCCCGTACCACCATGCACTGTAAATATCCCTCCCCTCTCTCCCTGGTCCCCTCCCCCATCCCCACCACTGATATCATGGGGAGTAATAGGACCAGAGCGGTATCTCTGGCACCACACTAGGGACTATCAGGTAATAAAAGCTTTGACTCCCTGAGGAAATGTCTCTCCCTTTGTCTGGGGGTGGGGCAGCCATACAGGCTGGGGCTCTCCTCGGCTGTTCATGGCCCTCCTGTTGCTGTTCTCTCTGAGTTATCTGAGAGAGGCCACAGTCCCCCAGCTCCTCCTGTCCACCAAACACAGCCCTTCCAGTTCTTAGGTGATCTCCAGGACCCTCCTTTCATTCCCAGCACATCTTTGGTTTAGTGGTCCTGGCCAGCCTCCCTCCCTAGGAAGGTGGCCAGGTCCTCACTGAGTCTCCTTAAGGACAGGGGCACAGGGGAGACTAGAGCTGGCTCAGCTTTGGGCTGAGGCCAGTCTGACCTCTCCAGTCTGTGGTGCTTTGCTACAAAACTGTCTGGATTGTGTCACCCTATCTAGGATAAATCTTTATGTCCACATATATTGTGTTGAATTGTTCCCATTTTCTTTCATACGTGTCCTCATTTCTGGGACAGTGTGAATGTTTCTCAGATCTAGAAGTCAGATGGTGGGAGTCTTAGATCCGAACTTGGTTTTGAGTGACATGTTAGACAAAAGTGTTGAACTTTTGTTTCTTAAAGAAGCTGGATGTTCATTTATGTCTCCCGTAACAGTCTGTGCTGTCCAGAGACCCAGTATCCTTAGGATATTATTCTCATCCTCATGGTTGAAGCTGGGTCACTGCCATGTCCATAATCCACCCTGAGGAAAGAGCATGGAGAGCCAGCAGCTTCATTTCTAAGGACAGGAAGCCAAATCTGCACTTTTCACTTCCACTCATAATCCACCCCGCATTCCACTCATCAGCTTCACAAGTAGGTTTTCACCTGGTCATAGCTATGCCTAACTACAGGGAGTGCTGGGGAAGTGTGATCTTTTGTTGGGGGCACACTGGGAGAGTGGGTCTGTCCACTGCCTCCCAGCCTCAGAGCAGCTCACCACAGGAGCAGGAGAGTGAACTCGTGGCTGTGGCTGTCAGGCAGGGCCTTTCTTGAGAGCCAGCGCAGGCCTGGGCTCCTCAGAGGCTTCTGGAGTGAGAGATGGCACCTCAGCCTGGCCCATGGAGGCATGTTCAGGGATCAGCACTACTGTGCTTCTTGGAGGAGGTGGGACTTGAGCTGGACCCATGGGAGGCTGGAAATTTAGATGAGTGAAAAGGAGGAAAGGCGAAGTAGAGCCACATTACAGAGGGCCTCAGAGTCCAGATAAAGCAGTTAACATGTAGTGGCTCCAGGAGGGAAGCCTGTCTGTGCACCACATACCCAGGATGTTTGTGGGAAGGAAGGAGATGTGCGGAAGGGACCCAGGAGACCTGCAGGAGGCAAGGGCTGCAACAGACCCCCTCTGGAAGTTTACAGGAGGTGAGTGTGAGTCATTAGAGACATTCAGTTCTGTAGGAACTAACGAACTCCCAAGAGGCAGTAAACTTAAAACTCAGCAGTCTCGATAAGTATGGATAAATTAGGCAAAGACAGATTCTGAGGAATTTCTGGTGAGGGGTGCCAAGTTTGGGGAGCAGCCCCTGGCTCCTTGCAAGCTACCCTTCAGTGCTCTGTGTGACCAAGTCCAAGTCGATGCAGGAGGGCAGGCACTGGGTCAGCAAGCCACTCAGTGAATGTGCAGGTGAGGCCGTTCATAGGCGCTTGTGTGCCTCCCAGCAGGCTGCCTGCCATTGCCAGGGCTGGCCTTCAGCAGGGTGCGCCACCATGGCCTGAGTGGTTTTCTGCTGAAGTCCGTGCTGATTTGGCCAGTGGATAGGCATCACCTGGGTGCAAAACCATTGTCTCCAGGTAGGAATGACCTCAGCTGTTTGCTCCGTGTCTCGCTCAGCCTGTAGATGTGTCCCTCATCCCTTCATGCCTCCCTCTTCACTCCTCTTTTACTTTCTACTCGGGGCTTGCATGTTTACAAGAGAGGTGAACCCAACAGAAACTAGTATAGGCCAAAAGGAAAATGTGCTGAAGCTCACACAGCACAGTCGTGTGGAAAAGGCAGCAGTGACTGCTTCATCCAGTGCCCTTCCCACAGCCAGTCAGTTGCGACCCAAGGGGCTTAGGGTAGGAGTGTTTCTCCATAGGGGAAGAGTAACAGCCTGCACCCACCACACACCCAAAGCCCTACATCCTGCCACACTGAGACCTCACTTCATTTGGGCGGGTCCCTCCTGGGTTGCAGTTTCCTTCATTGCTCCCCTGTCCCAAATACTCAAGTCTCTCTCATTAAAAATAAAGAGCAGGCCAGGTGCAGTGGCTCACACCTGTAATCCCACACTTTGGGAGGCCAAGGCGGGTGGATCACTTGAGCCCAGGATTCGAGACCAACCTGGGCAACATGACAAGATCCTGTCTCTACAAAAAATAACAAAAATCATCTGGGCATGGAGGCACACGCCTGTAGTCCCAGCTACTTGGGAGGCTGAGGTGGAAGGATCACCTGAGCCCATGAGGTGGAGGCTACAGTGAGCTGTGATCATGCCACTGCACTCCAGCCTGGGTCAAAGAGTGAGACCCTGTCTCAAAAAAAAAAAAAAATAGGCCGGGCACAGTGGCTAATGCCTATAATCCCAGCACTTTGGGAGGCCAAGGCGGACGGATCACCTGAGGTCAGGAGTTCGAGACCAGCCTGGCCAACATGGTGAAACCATCTCTACTAAAAATACAAAAATTAGCCGGGCGTGGTGGCACGTGCCTGTAATCCCAGCTACCGGGGAGGCTGAGGCAAGAGAATTGCTGGAACCTGGGAGGCAGAAACTGCAGTGAGCTGAGATCACGCCACTGCACTCCAGCCTGGATGACAGCGAGACTCCATCTCAAAAAAAAAAAAAGAAAAAGAAAAAGAATTAATTAATTAATTAAATAAAGAGCATGTCTCCCACCCCAGGCCTAAGTTCTTCCCTCTATGAGAGACTACTTGCAGAAACCTGTGTTCTCACTCTTCCCCCTTCCTCACTTCATTCCCACACATTTCTTTTCCATCCCTGCGCACCAAGGTCACCTTGGTGCTAAACACCAGGGACCCATGGTCTCTTCCCCTTTGTGTCACAGGCTGTCCTCTGCCTCTTATCCTCACCCTTTAGCTGCTCCTCCACTGTCTCCTCTCTCAGAGGTCAGGATTCTGGATCTGTCTCTGTGGACCCTCAGCTCTCCTCCAATCCCAAGTCCCCCGCATCCTGGTCGCATGTCAGGGTGGTCCAGAGATGCCTGCCTCCCACTGCCCACACCCAGGGGCCCGCCCTCCTTTCCTCTAACCTTCCCACATACTCTGGCCCCATGGATCCACGGCAGTTCCTGCTGGCCCTTCTCCATTTTGTTCCTTATGCTGCACCCCTCTGCTGCCACTCCCTGCGTCCGTGACTCCAGCTCACTCGTCTCTGTCCTTCACCCAGGCCGCCTGCTCAGGGTTTGTGCCTCTCTGTGCTCCTGCAGCACCTGAGTGTTTATTCACCTCTGAACCTCTGCTTTCCCACCTGAGTACACGCAGCTCCTGGCTGCAGTGACTTCATATCCTGAGGACTGGAGCTCCGTGGTGAACAGATGGCTTTCTATGTTCTAATGAGAGGGATACAAGAGTTCCACAGTTCTAGTCTGGAAAGGACCAAACATTTCTTAAAAGCTAAGTATGTTGCCGGAAAAAAAAGGGAGCAGAGCTTTCCCCAGGAAGCTTGGCTCTGGTTTAGATTTTTCAGGAAAAGCCGGAATCAAATTACAGAATAAATAAAGGCAACCATCCCCCTTTTAAAGGTACACCAGCCTTGGTGCATCTTTGAAGAAAGCATTCTGTAAACCCCAACCAGAACTAAACTAGTACGTCGAACTCAGATTCATTTTCACTAAACCACAAGCAAATGTTTCCCTAAAAATCACCCAGTTAACAAAGTCCGCATATTTAAGCCAAAACAATTTAACTGAACAAATGGGCCACACGTTGATTTCCGGTCCCTGCTAATAAGTCAGTCTGGAAGTTCACAGGTGTGCCCATCCTGCCTTGGCTGCTGAAGTCCAGGTGTCTAGGGCTGACTGATGCCCATTATGCCTCCCCTCCCCCATCTTTGTCACAGGATTTGACGCACCAGCTCTCCAAATGACCCTGGCCCTCCCATTTGCTGTTCAGCCCAAGTGCGGAGATTGGCTATGAACCCTGTAAACAGGCCTCTGACCCCCAGAGGCTGATGGCTGGCCAAGGAAAGCTGAGCTGCTGACGCAGACTGGGAAGCAAGAGCCCACTTCCAGCAGCCCAGGCTAGCTGTGTCCAAATCCATGACTGGGGAGGGGTTAGAGCCTTGAGGGACAAAATTATTCTACCTACCTAGGGAGACTGCACTGGCCCAACAGCTGGGCCCCATCTCATGGGCCCGCTTCTTCGCCAGGAGAGAAGCCACTCCGGGGTAGGTACTGCCCCACCCAAACCCAGCCATCTGGAGTGACCCAGCCCTGGTTCCCAGGTGTGTGGATGTGAATTGTCCCACCCAACCCACTCTACAGTGAGCAAACGGAAGCCCTCTGGGAGAGTGGTCACAGCCTCCCCTGTACCTCTGAACAGCCTGCCAGGCTCCCTACTCTTAGGCTTCCACTGTCCACCAGGGAAAGCCCTGAGCTGGGAGTTGGGGAGCCCCCAGGCATTGCCCCTGCCCAGGACACAATTCTCTTTTGGGATCAGGGAAGGCTGTGAGGGCTTTCTAGGTCTCAAGATCAGGAGCTTGAAGATGCAGCCTGGGAAGTGGGAAGGTGAGACCAGGACATAGGCCAGCCTAAAGCAAGAGTCCTGGGCCTGAAGGCTCCTGGGAAGGTGGTGGGGAGGGAGCATGTGTCGGTGGCCTCAGGGCAGCAGCTGCCTGGTGAATGTTCATGGACTGGATGCTCTGGGAAGCGGGTTGGGTGGTGAGCTTCTCTCTTCCCCTCTGAAGACGTCACTGGAGTCTGGGGGTGGAGCTGCCTGGTCTATAAATCCTGGGGCCATCAGGCTAGGGTCCTGCAGCTGCCTGAAGGAGCCATCTCATCCACAGCTCTTCCTTGGTGAGTGGGGAGCCTTCCCTAAGGGCTAGGACACCTGGACCAAGTTTCATCCTGGGCGTATGGTGTGCTGCTCCTCTTCCCCATTCCCAGGTGCCTCCACCCCTGAACCATGCCAGAGAAGTCCCCTTTTCCTCTCCTCTCCCCAACAGCTCTACCATCTATTCTTGTGCTTGTTGCCCCTGGCATGGGAGGGATAAGGGGTAGAAGCACTTGCCCCCATCAATACCACTCATCCATTCCACATCCCCAACTACTATGGAAGAGATACAGCAGGCCACGGAGAAAAGGGCAGAAGGCCTGCAACTCTGGTTCCCTAGCACTGGTGCTCCAAACACGCCTACATTGAGAACTCCCCTGACCATCCATCTATCCTCCCATCCATTGGCCTGAATTCAGGTCTCTGTTCCCCTCCAACTTTCTTCCACTTCTGGAAACTCCTTGAAGGAAAGATGGATGGACCTGGACAAGTGGGAGGGCCCTCAGAGCTGGCAAGGCAGGTAGCCTCTGTGCCCCAGGCTCAGGGAGAAGGCTCGTCCCCTGGAGCATCATCCCCTGCTGGGCCAGGATCCCCCAGGATCTGGACCCCTGTATGCTTGGGATGAGGAGCGGTGGCAGAGAGGGAAGGGCATAAGGAGATACCAAAGCTGCCCCTGAGATGCCAGTTTTCCAAAGTGGCCCTGGAGGAAGTAGGGGGATGTGGGGGTGAGGTAAGTCTCCTTGAATGCTGTACCCTGTCCATTAGAGCAGCCATGGCCAGCTCCAGGCGAGGCCTCCTGCTCCTGCTGCTGCTGACTGCCCACCTTGGACCCTCAGAGGCTCAGCACTGGTCCCATGGCTGGTACCCTGGAGGAAAGCGAGCCCTCAGCTCAGCCCAGGATCCCCAGAATGCCCTTAGGCCCCCAGGTGGGTGTCTCCCAGCCTCATGGGGAGGAAGAAAGTGATGGCCGGGGGCTCCCCCACCCTCCTGGAGCCTGAGGTCGGGGTAGGGAGGACAGCATCAGTTCCCTTCTAAGGAAGGGCCCTGGACACTGCAGCAGGCAGCCCAGTCCAGACTGCCCATGGCCTCCCAAGTGATGCCCTGGCTCCCCTGGACGACAGCATGCCCTGGGAGGGCAGGACCACGGCCCAGTGGTCCCTTCACAGGAAGCGACACCTGGCACGGACACTGCTGGTGAGTAGGGTGAGAGGTCCCCAGCATCAAGACCAGCCACTGGTCATCAGAGGCCATTGTGGCTTAGGGTTGGGTGCTGGGAGGGTGGGGAGAATGAAACACCACTGAGATGCCCCCTGCCACAGCACCCCCAGCCATTTCTCAGTGCCCCTACTGCACACAGCAGGGTGCTGTCTGCTATCCTTCCTATTTCCCAGGAGGATTCTAGACAATTTACAAAGCACTTGGGTTAAAGACCAAAGTCACTAGTAGACTAGAAGGAGATAATTGTTCTATAAGACAGTGGTGGCCATGGGATCCCACAGGCATCCTGACAAGCCAATGACTGTCTTGAGGTGGACAGACCCCAGGCCAGTGGAAAGAGGTGAGGGATGCAACCTCACTCAAACAGACAACAGGGCCAAGAGGACCAGGTGGTGACTGACATGTGCACTAGGAACATCTCAGGGACTGCAGAGCTCCCCAAGACCATAGCAGAAGACAGGCGTGGGGAAATGGTTTGCTACTGTTTTGCAAATCAAACATTTACAGTGCATCAGGAGAGCCCGGTAACTAAAGAAGAAAGTGGTTAGTTCCTATGAGGCAATGTCTTACCGCCTGATTTGTGTGTATGTGCTGAGGTTTCTATGCGTCAGGCTTGTTTAGGGTGGACAAGAGGGCATGCCCAAGGGAGCTGGAGATCCCCACACTAGCTGGATCCTCAGGCTTCTACGGGAGGCGGGGGGCGTCCTGCTGTGGGAGGCCACATGGGGACTGGGGGGGACGAGAGGGGAGAGAACCAGGAAGATGGCAGCTCGGCGGTTACGAGACCAGTGTCCTGAGACATGACCGCCACCTCTCCCTCCGCAGACCGCAGCCCGAGAGCCCCGCCCCGCCCCGCCATCCTCCAATAAAGTGTGAGGTTCTCCGAAGCTGTTGCGTCGAGTTCTGTCCTTCGTCCCCTCCCTGTCTTCCCCGCTGAGACCCTTCCCTGCGTGGGGGCTGGAGGGACGCGGGTCCGGCCCCGCGGGCGGGAGTAACTAAGGGATGGCCCCGGGCCCTGGCGGGAAGGCCGGGCCAGAGCCTGGGGGCGGGATGCGGACGTCCGCAGGGTCGCCGCTTCGGTTCCAGAGGCCACACGGCCGGGCGGGGCGTGAGGGACAGCCCGAGGACTACAGGTCCCAAGGTTCCCCGCGCCGCTTCCGGGGCACGGTGGCGTCCCGGCACCGCGGCCGCAGTGAGGAGACTCGGCCATGCTACGCGCGCTGAGCCGCCTGGGCGCGGGGACCCCGTGCAGGCCCCGGGCCCCTCTGGTGCTGCCAGCGCGCGGCCGCAAGACCCGCCACGACCCGCTGGCCAAATCCAAGATCGAGCGAGTGAACATGCCGCCCGCGGTGGACCCTGCGGAGTTCTTCGTGCTGATGGAGCGTTACCAGCACTACCGCCAGACCGTGCGCGCCCTCAGGTGTGCGGCCGGGGGGAGGTGGCCGCCCGCGCGCGCTGGTGACGGTGGGAGTGGGCGGAGAGGGTGCTGATTCCTGGCGCGTCTGCACCCAGGATGGAGTTCGTGTCCGAGGTGCAGAGGAAGGTGCACGAGGCCCGAGCCGGGGTTCTGGCGGAGCGCAAGGCCCTGAAGGACGCCGCCGAGCACCGCGAGCTGATGGCCTGGAACCAGGCGGAGAACCGGCGGCTGCACGAGCTGCGGTGCGTGGGGCGGGAGGCGGGGCGGGGCGGCGCGGCCTGGCCGGCCTGGGAGAAGCCCGGGCCCCGCTCAGCCTCGGCCCTTTGACCCTCACAGGATAGCGAGGCTGCGGCAGGAGGAGCGGGAGCAGGAGCAGCGGCAGGCGTTGGAGCAGGCCCGCAAGGCCGAAGAGGTGCAGGCCTGGGCGCAGCGCAAGGAGCGGGAAGTGCTGCAGCTGCAGGTGGGCAACGTCTCCGGAGGGTGGGACTCCAGCCGGGGACGCGGCTTGCGGGGCACTGGGAATTCTGGGCACCGCGACGCGGGCGCTGGCTATGTGCAGAGACTTACAGTTGGCAGGTCCGGATTTGGAGAGGAGAGTGCCAGTCAGGCGCAAAGACCCGGAGGTGAGCGGAGTAATTGGACAGTGTTCAGGTACCTAGCAGGTCTGTGGGAGGGACCCTGCGTTCCACAAAGAGGTTGTATTTTGCATAACAGGTGATGAAGCCATGAAGGGTTAAGTATTTCAGGCTAGGATTAGCAGGTGTGCGACTTAAAAGCAGGGAGACCACTTAGGAGTAATGCAGTGAGAATGGATGAGGCTTGATTTAAAGTATAGAAGGGTGGCTGGGAGCGGTGGTTCACGCCTGTAATCCCAGTACTATGGGAGGCCGAAGCGGGCGTATCACTTGAGGTCGGGAGTTCGAGTCCAGCCTGGCCAAGCCCCGTCTCTCCTAAAAATACAAAAATTAGCCGGGCGTGGTGTGCGCCAGTAATCGCAGCTACTCGGGAGGCTGAGGCATGAGAATCGCTTGAACCCAGGAGGCAGAGGTTGCAGTGAGCCGAGATGGCGCCACTGCACTCCATCCTGGGCGACAGTGAGACTCCGTCTCAAAATAAATAAATAAATAAATAAATAAAGTAATGGGGGGAAGGATGAGTTAGAGTGATTCAGAGGGGACCACTGAGGGACGGATTTCACCTACCAGGACGTGAGATTTTCATAGCTGGCACTCGGGGCTATGGCTGAAGTGTCTGAGAAAAGAGGAACGTGGAAAAGCAACCTGATATCACTCCACTGGGAGGCCAGAGGGGCTCTCAAATAGGACCTGGGTTCCAGGCATGCTTCCCCAGGGAGAGCAGGAGCTGCTTTCTCAGTGGGGTGAGAGGCCAGCAGGCTGGGTGGGCTGGCTGGCATGTGCCCAAGGCTCCTGTTCAGCTGGGCTTTTCTCTCCCGATAGGAAGAGGTGAAAAACTTCATCACCCGAGAGAACCTGGAGGCACGGGTGGAAGCAGCATTGGACTCCCGGAAGAACTACAACTGGGCCATCACCAGAGAGGGGCTGGTGGTCAGGCCACAACGCAGGGACTCCTAGGGGCCCAGTAAGGACAGTGCCCGCCAGGGACCATGTATGTATCATGGCGGAAGAGTTGGCCCTGACCTGGAATAAAGCAGTTGGTGTTGCTTATGAGGAAGGTTCAGCCTTATCCAGCACAGCCTTCACGTTTTGCCCTCTGCTGTCACCACTTGGTCAGAAACTTCCAAACGCAGTGCCCTGTTCTGCCGGTGTGTACAGCCTCAGCGCACCAGGAGACCCTAGAGTGGTTTCCATCTCACAGAGAATCAGACAGGGCCACAGCCCCCTCAGGCAGCCAGGTCATCTGAGTATCATTAAGAGTAGTGATGGGAAGATTACAGTCTGAGGGCCAAACGTGCCTGCTTCCTGTTTTTGTAAATAAAGTTTTGTTGGAACACAGCCACACCCACTCATTGACTTCTTTTTACTACAGTGGCAAAGGTGAGTAGTTGCAACAGAGACCATATGAATCCCAAAGACTAAAATCTTTAACTTTTTACAGGAAAAGTGTAGTGATCTCTCATCTGGAGCTTTAGGACTCTAGCCTGTGTCACCCAGGACCTGAGCCACAAGCTAACCATTGGCCAGGCGCCTGCCTCTGCTCTATACTGTGCTTTGCTGGCCAGAGTCTGGTGTATCCAAGACCCAGAAGGCAAAGAGGAGACCCCATTTTTTTCTGGGTTCCACAAAGAGGTTGTATTTTGCCTTACAGGTAATGAAGCCATGAAGAATTAAATATTCTAGGCTAGGATTAGCAGGTGTGTGACTTAAAAGCAGGGAGGCCATTAGGAGTGGGTCTCTCCACCCATGGCCTCAGTGACCTACATTTGCCCTGGCATTGCCATTGCCCTTGGGCCACCCAGCAGATGGCTGCTGGCAGGGGAGACATGGTTGACCAAGATTTTATGAGGTTAGTGTGGCTTAGCAAGCACTTGGACCAACCTCTATGGGTACTGGGACTACCTGTGATGATGAAGAGAGTATATAGATCCATAGTCCCTGTTCAGATGCAGGCCCTCAAGCAGTGTCTGGGATGAGCTGGAGGAATGTTTCTCAACCAGAGCAGCTTCCGTTTGCTGCCATGCACATGAACTCCAGCTTCTCTCCATGTCTCCCACTTCTTTGCAGGGAAGGCCTAGGGACCCCCAAGAAATGAAAACCTTTTTTTTTCTTTCTTTTTTTTTTGAGACAGAGTCTCACTATGTTGCCCAGGCTGGAGTGCAGTGGCACGATCTTGCTCACTGCAAGCTCTGCCTCCCGGGTTCACGCCATTCTCCTGCCTCAGCCTCCCAAGTAGCTGGGACTACAGGCGTCTGCCAACACGCCTGGCTAATTTTTTATATTTTTAGTAGAGACGTAGTTTCACTGTGTTAGTCAGGATGGTCTCGATCTCCTGACCTCGTGATCCGCCCGCCTCGGCCTCCCAAAGTGCTAGGATTACAGGCGTGAGCCACCGCGCCCGGCCGAAATGAAAACCTTTTAGGGTGTATGGGCCACTCTTATTGCAGGTGAGAAAGCAGGTAATAAGGTACAAGCAGAGGTGGTGCCTGGCACCCAGCCCTCCTCAGAGCACTGCACTCCTGAGAACCTTGGCCTCCCTCCTTAGGCTGGTACTAGCTCTTCTCCCCCAGCATCAACTCTGGCCAGAGCACAGTGGCATCCCTGCTTTTAGGTGCGAGGCATCTGGAGTGAGACCTGATGGGCACACGTGGGCAGTGGTTTGATGATGTCTTCCATGGCCTCGGGCTTCGTCATGGTGAAGAGTGGGCCATCTGGACCCCTGCATTGGAAGCCTTTGGTGATGTGGCACATAGGCCTGTGTTAGGAAGTCCAGTTTTATGTAACGTACTCCTCCCTGGACCTCCTTGTCTCCATCTTCCAGTTTTATTCTTTCCAAGGCCTCTGTACCGGGATCCAGACGTAAGCCATCTGTCTGTTCAGACAGAGGACACACTGACCTTGAAGCTCTGTCTTTGGGCTGATTCCACTGCTGTCCAGCATGGGGCTGGAACTCAGCATTCACTGCTGATGCTGTTATGTCATGCAGAACCACCTGGGAACCAAGTGTCACGTTTTTATTCTCTACCCACAGCCACCTTGCTGGTGTAGGCACCACTAGGCAGCTTACTGGTACCTTCAGGGTTAACTCAAACCCAGTGCCATCTGTACCTGCTTCTAATGGAACATTGAGTGCAGCCAGGTGCACAGGTAGCCTCTCAGATCCCAACCAGTCCAGGTTGCAGAGTCATGTGATGCCCCAGGGTAGTGATGCCTGATCTCCGCAGAACCCTGGATAGTTAACCTGATGGGCATGGCCTTGCTCAAAACACCAGGGTCTCTTCAGATCCTTACCTCAAGTTCCTAGTAGGGCTTGGATCTGTTACAGACAATGAGCTCTGCAAGGTTTTAAGGGGGAGAGTTGCCAGAATCATGCTGCAGCCTGGACCACCAAGAGAATATCTTGCTCAAGGCTCCACTTGTGGGTGGTAGATTTGGGGTCTAGCTGGTAAATGCATTTGGAGCAGAACACCCAAATGTAAGTGCTTTCACTAAGATGGGAGGAGGTCCACCAGGCTTTGTGGGATAGACAGGATGGACCAGCAATTTGTGAGTGGCAAGTTTTTCCCGAAGGACCCAATCAAGTATAGATGTTTTACCACGAAACGGGATTCTTGCCCCTTCCAGTTGTCTAGAATAAGCATGATGTCAATGACTGGCCCCCGCATGTTGTCCTGGAGATGGGTGGTGTAGGTCTTGAGGATCTGGTTATGCAAAACTGTAGAGTTGTTAATCTCTCGGGCTGAATTGTGAAGGTGTGCTGCTTCTAGGTGAAGGCAAGCTGCTTATAGTGGTCCAGGTGGGTAGGACAAGAGAAGAATGCATTTGCCCAATTAATCTGTTCCATCAAGGAGACCACCCTAGACGTCATTACACCTAAAGTCATTCCTCATATTTTTCCAACATACTCCAAATTTTCCGCATGGAACAATCACAGTTATCCAGTATTCCCTGAAATCTTTGGGAAATGTTACCTCCTGCACTTACCCTGTGGTTATTTCCCCAACTCTGACAAGTACGGAGTTGAAATGGACAACTAGGAAGGAAGGCCAGCTGACTGCTGAAATAAGAGCAACTTTGGCAGAAAGGGTTAAGTTTGGAATTATTTTTCTTTCCCAAATAGGAAGTCAAGAGTAATATTGCAATCCCAAAAACCTGAGACAGGCAGGCCTAGCCATGATGCTGTCATTTCCCCTGTCAGGTGCTTTAGTGAATATTTCCTTAGTGCAGGTAGGCGCATAAACAATATATGTGATGTTTTTATAAAGGGAACACTACCAGAGTCAGCCTCATGGTTCAGTTTACAGGACCTCAAAGTCAAGAACTTGAAGAATCCCACCATAGTGCCACAAAAGGGCCCAGGAAAGTGACATTAAAAGGTCAGAGCTGTGGCCGGGCGCGGTGGCTTACGCCTGTAATCTCAGCACTTTGGGAGGCGGAGGCAGGTGAATCACCTCAGGAGTTCGAGAACAGCCTGGCCAACATGGTGAAAACGCGTCTCTACTAAAAATATAAAAAATTAGCTGGGCATGGTGGCGCCTGGAATCCCAGCTGGAAGGCTGAGGCAAGAGAATCACTTGAACCTGGGAGGCAGAGATTGCAGTGAGCCCAGATCCACTGCACTCCAGGCCAGGTGACAGTACAAAAAAAAAAAAAAGTCAGAGCTGCATAAGCCCCAGTCTTATGCGGTACTCCACAGTGGCTCTGTGGTCACAACAATCCTCCCCAAATGCATTTCCCCTCACTGAGAGTGAAAACACAGGTGTGAGGTTGAAGTTCTCTGGGAATTTGTGTTACAGGTCACTTTTTTGTTTTTTTTTTTTAATGCTGGCTACTGAGGGAGAGAAATGGTCTGGGAGTGAGGTTGTGTGGCTGGGAAATCTGAAACAGATACAAACGTCAACCATGCCTACTACACAGCCTTCTGGCACTACCAGTCAGTGCCCCCAGGTGCTATTGCTGGCACCCCTGCTGCTGCTGTTGGAACTGCAGGAATGTAGGTGCCCACTACAGCTGCCAGAAATGCCCCAGAAGCGAGAAAAGTGAATTTGCCCTTCCTCTGGCCTTAAAAATCTTTCCCTGGGCCAGGCACGGTGGCTCATGCCTTTAATCCCAGAACTTAGGGAGGCTGAGGTGGGTGGAGCAACTGAGGTCAAGAGTTCAAGATCAGCCTGGCCAACATGGTGAAACCCCGTCTCTACAAAAATACAAAAATTAACCTGGCGTGGTGACACGTGCCTGTAATCCCAGCTACTTGGGAGGCTGAGGCAGGAGAATCGCTTGAACCCAAGAGGCGGAGGTTGCAGTGAGCCGAGATCATGCCATTGCATGCCAGCCTGGGCGACAGAGCAAAACTCTGTCTCAAAAAAAATCTTTCCCCAGGCCAGGCGCAGTGGCTCACACCTATAATCCTAGCAATTTGGGAGGCTGAAGCAGGTGGATCACTTGAGGTCAGGAGTTCGAGACCAACCTGGCCAACGTAGTGAAACTGTGTCTCTACTAAAAATACAAAAATTAGCTGAGCGTGGTGGTGCACACCTGTAATCCCAGCTACTGGGGAGGCTGAGGCAGGAGAATCGCTTGAACCCAGGAGGCGGAGGTGCACTGCAGCCTGGACAATGGAGAGAGACTCCATCACCCCCACCCCCCCACCAAAAAAAAAGAAAACAGCAGTTTATAAACAGATATTCTACATCCCTCTTCGCATTGTTTATCAGGACTGTCATTTTCTTGTATGAGACATTTGGGTTTTTTCCCTCTGAATATGTTACTACTGTGACATTTAGCCCTTAGAAAAAAATGTTAGGCCAGGTACAGTGGCTCACACCTGTAATCCCAACAATTTGGGAGGCTGAGGTGGGAGGATCGCTTGAGCCCAGAAGTTTGAGACTAGTCTGGGAAACATAGGGAAACCCATCTCTATTAAAAAAAAAAAAAATTAAAAATTAGCTGGGCATGGTGGTGTACACCTGTGGTCCTAGCTACTTGGGAGGCTGAGGTGGGAGGATGGCTTGTGCCTGGTAGGTTGAGACTGCAGTGAACCATGATCACACCACTGGACTCCAGCCTAGGCAACAGAGCGAGACCCTATCTTCAAAAAAAAGAGGAAAAGAAAAGAAGTTAACAAATGTTCAGTATTTCAGTTACTTCCTGACCTGGTGATATTTAAGGGTGTGTTTGTTTTTGGATGATCTTTGCAAATATATTAACTACTGTTAAGGGGAAAAGCTGCTTCGGCGACTTGAGCTGATTGAGTCACACTTCTGGGCTCTCTGGGCCCTTTTGTGAGTTTATAATAGAAATAAAATATGACTTTATAAAAAAAATCCCCAAGAGAGATGGGAGAGTATTTAAATTGTTGCCCCATTTACTGCTTCTACCCAGAAATCCATATAAATAAATCAAAAAAATAGATTTATGGTAACAAGCCTGATGCAACCTGCTTGGGTTTAAATTTGAATCCCAGCTTCTCCCTCTTACTATCTGCATATCTTTGAGAACATTTCTTAGTCCCTCTGTGCCTCAGTTTCCTCAAAAGTAAAATAGAGATTAAACAATACTAGTATGTACCTATAAGGGTATTGTGGCAATTAAATGAGAAACTGATGTAAAGCTAAGCTCACTGACTGCAACACAGTTTGTGCTTAATAGATGTTACATGTTATTCTTTTATTTATTTATTTATTTATTTATTTTGAGATGGAGTTTTGCTCTTGTTGCCCAGGCTGGAGTGCAATGGCTCAATCTCGGCTCACTGCAACCTCTGCCTCCCGGGTTCAAGCAATTCTCCTGCCTCAGCCTCCCAAGTAGCTGGGATTACAGGCATGCACCAGCTAATATTTTTGTATTTTTAGTAGAGACAGGGTTTCACCATATTGGTCAAGCTGATCTCGAACTCCCAACCTCAGGTGATCTGCCCACCTTGGCTTCCCAAAGTGCTGGGATTACAGGCGTGAGCCACCGCGCCCAGCCACGTTATTATTATTATTATTACTATTATTTTAGGGAAACCAGAGAATAGTCTTAAACTCACATCATAGACTGAGAAGAATTAACTGCCAAATAACACTCACGCAGGGAATGAATTGCTGGAGGAGACCAAGACCTGCCCTGCAGCTCCCCTTATCTCCAGCAGAGGGCAGACGCATCAAGATAGTGACAGGGCCCTCAAAAATGGAAAGGATAAGATTGGTGAATTTGACTTTTTTTTTTTTTTTGAGACAGAGTCTCGCTATTGTTGCCCAGGCTGGAGTGCAATGGCTTGATCTCGGCTCACCCCAACCTCCGCCTCCCAGGTTCAAGCAATTCTCCTGCCTCAGCCTCCCCAGTAGCTGGGATTACAGGCACACGCCACCACGCCTGGCTAATTTTGTATTTTTAGTAGAGATGGGGTTCCTCCATTTTGGTCAGGCTGGTCTCAAACTCCCGACCTCAGGTGATCCACCCGCCTCGGCCTCCCAAAGTGCTGGAATTACAGGCATGAGCCACCGCGCCCAGACCGATTACATTATTTAAGAAATAAACTTAACAAGCCGGGTGCAATGGCTCATGCCTGTAATCCCAGCACTTTGGGAGGCTGAGGCGGGCAGATCACCTGAGGTCAGGAGTTCGAGACCAGCCTGGCCAACATGGCGAAACCAAGTCTCTACTTAAAATACAAAAAAATTAGCCGGGTGTGGTGGCACTCACCTGTAATCCCAGACACTTGGGAGGCTGAAGCAGGAGAATTGCTTGAACCTGAGAGGTGGAGGTTGTGGTGAGCCGAGATCACGCCATTGCACTCCAGCCTGGGCAACAGAGTGAGACTCCGTATCAAAAAAAAAAAAAAAAAAAAAAAAAAAAGTAAGTTGCAGACATCAAGACACTTCATCTCTCAATACTTAAGCATATATTTCTTCAGAACAAAGTCATTTTCAGCATAAGCATAGGGCTATTATCTACCCAAGAAATCAAACGAAAACTCTCCGTTGCTCCCCGCTCCCCAGCCCTTGGCAGCTACCACTCTTCTTTTTTTTTTTTTTTTTTTTTTTAGAAATAGGGATTGGGTCTTGCTCTGTTGCCCAGGCTGGTCTCAAACTCCTAGGCTCAAATGATCCTCCCACTGTGGCCTCCCAAAGTGTTGAGATTACAGGCGTGAGCCACCACACGCAGCCTCCTTCCTTTTGAAGGCTGAGTAATATTTCACAGTATGTACATGCCACATTTATCCATTCATCCATTCATGAACGTTGGGTTTCTTCCGCCTGTTGCTTACTGTGAATACTGCTGCTACAAACATGGGTGTGCAAATACCTCCTCGAGCCCCTGCTTTCAATTCTTTTGGATACGTACACAGAAATGGAATTTCTGGATCATATAATTTTATTTTAAATTTTTAAGGAACAACCATACTGTTTTTCCATGGCAGCGGCAACATTTTAAATTATTACCAACAGTGCACAGGGGGGTTCCAATATCTTCACATCCTTGTCAACACTTGTTATTTTCTGGGTTTTTGTTTTTCGGGTTTTTTTTTTTTTTTTGACAGATTCTTGCTCTGTCACCCAGGCTGGAGTGCAGTGGCACGATCTCAGCTCACTGCAACCTCTGTCTCCCGGGTTCAAGTGATTCTCCTGCCTCAACCTCCGGAGTAGCTGGAATTAGGGGCACCCACCACAACACCCGACTAGTTTTTGTATTTTTTTTTTAGTAGAGACGGGGTTTTGCCATGTTAGCCGGGCTGATCTGGTCTCAAACTCAAGACCTCAAGTGATCCACCCGCTTCAGCCTCCCAAAGTGCTGGGATTACAAGTGTGTTTTTAGAATCAGTTTGTTTATATCTATAAAAATTTCTGCTGGAATTTTGATAAGGAATGTGAAATTGTTTTATCAATTAGATGTTGTTTTACGACCCACAATATAGTATCTTAGTGAATGTGTTCCATGTGCTTTTTTCTCTTCCATGTGCTTTTTTGAAAAGAATGTGTGTTTTTTTGTTTGTTTCTGTTTTTTGTTTTTTTGAGACAGAGTTTCGCTCTTGTTGCCCAGGCTGGAGTGCAGTGGCATGATCTCAGCTCACTGCAGCCTCTGCCTCCTGGGTTCCAGCGATTCTCCTGCCTCAGCCTCCCGAGCAGCTGGGATTACAGGCACCCGCCACCACGCCTGGGTAATTTTTGTATTTTTAGTAGAGATGGGGTTTCTCCATGTTGGTCATGCTGGCCTCAAACTCCCTACCTCAGGTGATCTGCCCACCTCGGCCTCCTAAAGTGTTGGGATTAGAGGCATGAGCCACCGCGCCCGGCCAATTTACATATTTTTTTATTATGTATCTCTTAACAAACTGCTATGGCTATTATTGTTTTGATAGATTTGTCTTTTGGGCTTCATACTAGAGTTATGAGTGGATTGCATTCCACATACAATATTAGGCTATTAAATAGGTTTGTGTACTTAATTTTACCAATAGGTTTTATACTTTCAAGTGTTTTTTGGGAAGAGGAGAGGGTCAAATCTGTTCTTTGGCCTTCCTGTAACTGGATATTTATATCTTTCTCAAGTTTGGGAAAGTTTTCTGTTATTATTCTTTTTTTGGAGACATGGAGACAAGGTCTCACTCTGTTGCCCATGCTGTAGTGCAGTAGCACGTTAACAGCTCACTGTAGCTGTAAACTCTTGAACTCAAGTGATCCTCCCTGCCTCAGCCCCCAAGTAGCTGGGATTACAGGTGTGCACCACCTGTAATGCCTCCCTAATTTTTTATCTTCTTTTTTGTAGAGACAAGGTCTCACTATGTTGCCCAGGCTGGTCATGAACTCCTGGCCTTGAGCAATCCTCCTGCCTCGGCCTCCCAAAACATTGGAACTACTGGCACGAGCTACCATACCAGCTTGTTATTACTTCTTTCAATAAGCTTTCTTCTACCCCTTGCTCTTGCTCAACTCCCTCTTGAACACCAATAATTCTTAGATTTGGTCTACTGAGGTAGTTTTCTACATCTTGTAGGTGATCCTCATTCTTTTTCATTCCTTTTTCTCCTCTCATTATGTATTTTCAAATAGACTATCTTCATGGCCCGTTGTGGTGGATCACGCCTATAATCCCAGCACTTTGAGAGGCCAAGGCAGGCGGAATGCTAGAGCTCAGGAGTTTGAGACCAGCCTGGCCAACATGGCAAAACCCCATCTCTACTAAAAATACAAAAAAATTGGCCAGGCATGGTCAGTGGCTCACACATATAATCTTAGCACTTTGGGAGGCTGAGGCAGGCAGATCACCTGAGGTCAGGAGTTCAAGACCAGCCTGGCCAACATGGGGAAACCCCATCTCTACTACAAAAATCAGCTGGGGCGCGGTGGCTCACGCCTGTAATCCCAGCACTTTGGGAGGCCGAGGCGGGCGGATCACGAGGTCAAGAGATCGAGACCATCCCGGCTAAAACGGTGAAACCCCGTCTCTACTAAAAATACAAAAAAATTAGCCGGGCGTAGTGGCGGGCGCCTGTAGTCCCAGCTACTTGGGAGGCTGAGGCAGGAGAATGGCGTGAACCCGGGAGGCGGAGCTTGCAGTGAGCCGAGATCCCGCCACTGCACTCCAGCCTGGGCGACAGAGCGAGACTCCGTCTCAAAAAAAAAAAAAAAAAAAAAAAAAAAAAAATCAGCTGGGCATGGTGGCAGGCACCTGTAATCCCAGCTATTCGGGAGGCTGAAGCAGGAGAATCGCTGGAACCAAGGAGGCGGCGGTTGCAGTGAGCTAAGATCGCACCACTGCACTCCAGCCTGGGCAACAAGCAAGACTCTGTCTCGGGGAAAGAAAAAAAAAAAGATTTGTACACTTTGTGAAATTTTTACTCAAGAAAAGTGAAGGAGAAATATTTCCCAAGGAGAAGATGACACAGTGAAGTGTGACTGCATAAATTTGGCCACGAAGGTAGAAAGGGCATCACATGAATGCCCGGTCTTCTGTAAATATGTGTGTTGTTCTTATAGTAATACCAAAACAGTTTGTCTTTTTTTTTTTTTTCTTTTTTTTTGAGACTGAGTCTTGCTCTGTCACCCAGGCTGGAGTACAGTGGTGCAATCTCAGCTCACTGCAGCGTAGACCTCCCAGGCTCAAGCGATCTTCCCACCTCAGCCTCCTGAGTAGCTGGGACCACAGGCGCATGCCACCACTCCTGGCTAATTTTATATTTTTTTGTAGAGACAGGGTTTCACCATGTTGCCCAGGCAGGTCTCAAACTCCTGGGCTCAAGTGATCTGCCCACCTTGGCCTCCCAAAGTGCTGGGATTATAGGCATGAGCCACTGAGCCTGGCAGATTGTCTTTTCACCAAAAAAATGATGGACAAGTTACTGTACCTTGCATTCTTTATCTCTAAAAAGGAGACATGTTGCATGGTGAACCTCTGAATTTTGGAGTCAACACTGGCCACATTTGAATGTTCTGCTCGTCAGGACTAGAAGTGCTGCCAGCTTTGAGGGGCATTTAGGGCAAGAGAAGACAGCTTAAGAGATCCAGTTGCAAGGCAGGCCACTCTGTACTTTGGGCCTTATGATCCAGTAGATCCAGTAGAACTGGTACTCAAGATGTCCACAGTTAACCAGAATGCTATGTGGACCTGTAGTAAGCTTCAGTGGATACTCACATCAGAAGTCCCTTGGGTTTGTTTTTTGTTTTTTGTTGTTGTTGTTTGTTTGTTTTCCTTTTTTATGTTGAGACGGAGTATCATTCTGTCACCCAGGCTGGAGTGCAGTGGAGTGATCTCGGCTCACTGCAACCTCCGCCTCCCAGGCTCAAGCAATTCTCCTGCCTCAGCCTCCTGAGTAGATGGAACTACAGGTGTGCACCACCACACCTGGCTAATTTTTGTATTTTTAGTAGAGAGGGGTTTCACCATGTTGGCCAGGCTAGTCTCGAACTCCTGACCTCAGGTGATCCTCCCACCTCGGCCTCCCAAAGTGCTGGGATTACAAGTGTGAGAAAATATATACTTTTTTTGTTTGTTTGTTTGTTTGAGACAGAGTTTTGCTCTTGTCACCCAGACTGGAGTGCAGTGACATGATCTCGGCTCACTGCAACCTCCATCTCCTAGGTTCAAGCAATTCTCCTGCCTCAGCCTCCCAAGTAGCTGGGATTACAGACGCCCACCACCATGCCCAGCTAATTTTTGTATTTTTAGTGGAGGGTTTCAACATGTTGGCCAGGCTAGTCTTGAACTCCTGGCCTCAAGTGATCCGCCCACCTTGGCCTCTCAAAGTGCTGGGATTACAGGCGTGGGCCACCGTGCCCGGCTGAGTATACTCTATTTTTATTTGTCAATTATACCTCAATAAAGCTGGGGGAAAAAAACTGAAAAAATACTGGTCATGAATTATTTTTCTTTGGTGGGGCTACCATTCTCTCCCACTCCACTGGCTGTGTGGAAATAGCCCACACATCGGTTGCAGGTGCAGAGGACATCTGAGGACAGGCTCGCCCTGCCCACCACCATTGCCACTGGTGCCCGAGCATGCCTTCCAGGGCCTGGGGATCAATCCATCCTATCTGCCACTGCCAGTGCCCATGCACACCATCTGGGGGGCTGAAAACAGGCCTGCCCTGCCCTTCACCACCACCATTGCTGCCAGCACCTGTGCACATCATCCAGGGGCCTGAGATTCAATCTGCCCAGCCCACCACCATCACCACCCGTGTGCACCATCCAGGGGCCTAAGGGTCCCACCCTACCTACTGATGTCAATGCTAGTACCCATGCATGTCATCCAGGGGTCTGGGGGTTGACCTGCACTGTCAGCACACATGCACGCCTTCCAGGGACCTGAGGATGGGCTCACCCCACCTACTGCTGCCGTCCATGTGTACTGTCCAGAGACCTAGGGATTGATCCACCCACTTCACTGCCACTGGTGTGCATGCCACACATGCACACTGTCCAGGAGCCCAAGGACAGGTCCACCTTGCCTACCACTGATTCCTGTGTGCATCTCCCAGAGGCCCAGGCACTGGCCCACCCAGCCTGCTGCTGCCAGTCAGTACCAGCACGCCACCCAGGGGCCTGGGGACTGGCCCAAACAGATTGCTGTTACCACCACCCTGTCCAAAAAAAAAAAAGACCCAATTGTATGCTGCCTATCAGAAATTCACTTCACCCGTAAAGACACACATAGACTGAAAATGAATAGATGAAAAAAAAATTCCATGCAATTCCATAAAATTGGGGAAAAAATGACTGTTATAAGTGACTGATATCCTGCATGCTTTTATTTATTTATTTATTTATTTTTTGAGACGGAGTTTCGTTCTTGTTGCCCAAGCTGGAGTGCAATGGTGCGATCTTGGCTTACTGCAACCTCTGCCTCCTGGGATTACAGGCACCCGCCACCACACCCAGCTAATTTTTGTATTTTTAGTAGAGACGGGGTTTCACCATGTTGGCCAGGCTGTACTTGAACTCCTGACCTCAGGTGATCTGCCTGCCTCTGCCTCCCAAAGTGCTGGGATTACAGGTGTGAGCCACCACACCGGCCTTGCATGCTTTCAGTTTCCAATCATTTGGAAGCCAAAATTATTGGAACAGTCATTAATAGCCTACTATATAACAACAAATGCCTACATCAAAAAAAGTAGGAAGACTTCAAGTAAACAACCTCATGATGCTCCTCAAGGAGCTAGAAAAGCAAGAATAAACCAAACCCAAAGGAAAGAAACATAAAGATCAGAGCAGAACTAAACAGAATAGAGACTAAAAAAGGGAAACAAAGGGTCAATGAAATAAAAACTTGTTTTTTAAAAAATATAAACAAAATCCACAAACCTGTGCTTGGTGTGTGAGAAAAAAAAAAAAAAAATCAATAAGCCACTACCAGGACTAACCTAGAAAAAAAGAGAGAAGACCCAAATAAAATTAGAAATGAGAAAGGAGACATACAACTGATATCACAGAAATACAAGGGATCATTAGAAACTATTATGAACAACTATACACTAACAAATTGGAAACCCTAGAGGATATCTATGAATTCCTGGACACAAACAACCTACCAAGATTGAACCAGGAAAAAAATAGAAAACCTGAAGAGATCAATGATGAGTAACCACATTGAATCAATAATTAAAAGTCTCTCAACAGAGAAAAGCTCAGGACCAGATGGCTTTACTGTGGAATTCTACCAATTTATAAAGAACTAACACCCATTCTTCTCAAACTATTCCTAAAAATTGAAGAGAATTTTTTTCTAACTCATTCTATGAGGCCAGCGTTACCCAGACACCAAAACCAGACTAGGACACACACAACAACAAAAGAAAACTACAGGCCAATATACCTGATAAACATAGATGCAAAAATCCTCAACAAAATACAGTTGATCCTTGAAGAATGTGGAGGCTATGGATGCCAAAACCCTGCACACTAGAAAATTCACATATAACGTTTGACCCCCCCAAAACTTAATTACTAATAATTAAGTGAAAGGCCTTTACAATGAAAACTATAAGACACTGATAAAAAAAAATTGAAGTCCGGGCGCCGTGGCTCACACCTGTAATCCCAGCACTTTGGGAGGCTGAGGCGGGTGGATCACAAGGTCAGAAGTTCGAGACCAGCCTGGCCAAGATGGTGAAACCCCATCTCTACTAAAATAAATAAAAAATTAGCCGGGCGTGGTGGCAGGCGCCTGTAGTCCCAGCTACTCCGGAGGCTGAGGCAGGAGAATTCCTTGAACCTGGGAGGCGGAGGTTGCAGTGAGCCGAGATCGTGCCACTGCACTCTAGCCTGGGCGACAGAGCAAGACTCCATCTCAAAAAAAAAAAAAAAAAGAAAAAAAATTGAAAAGGATACAAACAAATGGAAAGGCATCCCATGCTCATGGATTGGAAGAGTATTGTTAAATGACTGTACTACTCAAAGCAATCCACAGATTCAGTGCAATCCCTATCAAAATACCAATGACATTCTTCACAGAAATAGAAAAAACAATCTGAAAATTTGTATGGAACCACAAAAGATACTTAATAGCCAAAGCAATAATGAGCAAAAAGAACAAAGCTTAGAGGTACCACACCACCTGACTTCAAAATTTACTACAAAGGTGTAGTAATCAAAACAGCAGGCTATTGGTATAAAAATAGACACAGACCAATAGAACAGACTGGAGAATCCAGAAATAAATCCATGTGTTTACAGTCAACTGATTTTTGACAAAGGCATCATGAACAAACACTGGGGAAAGAACATCCTCTTTAATAAATGATGCTGGGAAAACAGGATATCCATAGGTAGAAGAATAAAACTAGACCCCTATCTCTCACAATGTACAAAACTCAACTCAAAATGGCTTAAAGACAAACATAAGACCTGAAACTATAAATCTACTAGAAGAAAACATAGGGAAAACACTTCAGGACGTTGGTCCAGGTAAAGATTTTATGGCTAAGACTTCAAAAGCACAGTCAACAACAACAACAACAACAAAATAGACAAATGGGAATACAGTCAACTAAAAAGCTTCTGAACAGCAAAGGAAGCAATCAACAGAAACAACCTGTAGAACAGGAGGAAATCTTTACAAACCATTCATCTGACAAGGGGCTAATATTCAGAATATACAAGGAATTCAAACAACTCAGCAGCAAAAACATAAACAATCCCAGTAAAAAGTGGGCAAAGGGCTGGGCGCGGTGGCTCACGCCTGTAATCCCAGCACTTTGGGAGGCCGAGGTGGGCGGATCATAAGGTCAGGAATTTGAGACCAGCCTGGCCAATAGGGTGAAACCCCGTCTCTACTAAAAATACAAAAAATTAGCCGGGCCTGGTGGTGTGCGCTTGTAATCCCAGCTACTCGGGAGGCTGAGGCAGGAGAATTGCTTGAACCTGGGAGGCAGAGGTTGCAGTGAGCCAAGATCATGCCTTTGCACTCCAGCCTGGGTGACAAAGCGAGACTGTCTCAAAAAAAAAAAAAAAAAAAAAAAAGTGGCCAAAGGATCTGAATAGATATCTCAAAAGAAGACACGCATGCTTGAGCCTAGAAGTTGGAGGTTATAGTGAGCTATGATCGTGCCACTGTACTCCAGCCTGGGCAACAAAGTGAGACTCTGTCTCTAAAAAATAAAATAAAAGGCCGGGCACAGTGGCTCACACCTATAATCCCAGCACTTTGGGAGGCCAAGGCGGGCAGATCACAAGATCAGGAGATGGAGACCATCCTGGCTAACACGGTGAAACCCCATCTCTACTAAAAAATACAAAAAAAATTAGCCAGTCGTGGTGGCAGGCGTCTGTAGTCCCAGCTACTCAGGAGGCTGGGGCAGGAGAATGGCGTGAACCCGGGAGGCGGAGCTTGCAGTGAGCCAAGATTGGGCCACTGCACTCCAGCCTGGGTGACAGAGCGAGACTCCATCTCAAAAAATAAATAAATAAATACCCTGCCCGGCCGCCGCCCCGTCTGGGAGGTGTACCCAACAGCTCATTGAGAACGGGCCATGATGACGATGGCGGTTTTGTCGAATAGAAAAGGGGGAAATGTGGGGAAAAGAAAGAGAGATCAGATTGTTACTGTGTCTGTGTAGAAAGAAGTAGACATAGGAGACTCCATTTTGTTCTGTACTAAGACAAATTCTTCTGCCTTGGGATGCTGTTAATCTATAACCTTACCCCCAACCCCGTGCTCTCTGAAACATGTGCTGTGTCCACTCAGGGTTGAATGGATTAAGGGCGGTGCAAGATGTGCTTTGTTAAACAGATGCTTGAAGGCAGCAGGCTCCTTAAGAGTCATCACCACTCCCTAATCTCAAGTACCCAGGGACACAAACACTGCGGAAGGCCGCAGGGTCCTCTGCCTAGGAAAACCAGAGACCTTTGCTCAGGTGTTTATCTGCTGACCTTCCCTCCACTGTTGTCCTATGACCCTGCCAAATCCCCCTCTCCGAGAAACACCCAAGAATGATCAATAAATACTAAAAAATTTTTTTAAAAATAAATAAATAAAAATAAAATAACATAAAAAAAGACATACAAATGGCCAACAGGTATATGAAAAAATTGCTCAACATTAGTAATCATCAGAAAAATGCAAATAAAAATGACAATGAGGCCAGGCACAGCGGCTCACGCCTGTAATCCTAGCACTTTGGGAGGCCAAGGCAAGCGGATTGCTTGAGCTCAGGAGTTCAAGACCAGCCTGGGCAACACGGTGAAACCCCCATCTCTACAAAAAATGCAAAAATTAGCCAGGCATCGTGGCTCACATCTGTAATCACAGCTACTTTGTGGGCTGAGGCACGAGAATCACTTGAACCCGGGAGGCAGAGGTTGCAGTGAGCTGATCATGCCACTGCACTCCAGCCTGGGTGACAAAGTGAGACCCTCTACAAAAAATACAAATATTAGCCAGGCGTGGTGGTGCGCACATGTAGTCCCAGCTACTCTGGAGGCTGAAGGGGGAGGATCACTTGAGCCTGGGTGGTCAAGGCTGCAGTGAGCTGAGATTGCACCACTGCACTCCAGCCTGGGCAACAAAGTGAAAAGAAAAAAAAGAAAAACAATAAACAGGAATGAAACAGGAATGAACTACTGTAACCGCCCAACAGGTTCACCTTACCCACTGCCTAGACAGCCAATTTATCAGGACAGGGGAATTGCAATACAGAAAGAGTAATTCACTCAGAGCCAGGTGGGCAGGAGACAGAAGTTTCATTATTGCTCAAAACAGTCTCTCTGAGCATTCAGGAATCAGAGTTTTTAAGAATAATGTGCTGGGTGGCGGGGCAGTCATTGGGTCAGGAGTGTTTATTGGCTGGGGTGGAGAAGAAGCTGTCCTCTTGCATTGAGTGAGTTCCTGGGTGGGGGCCACAATATCAGATGAGCCAGTTTATTGATCTGGGTGGTGCTAACTGATCCATAGAGTGCAGGTCTGCAAAATATCTCAAGCACTGATCTTAGGTTTGACAATAGTGATGCTATCCCCAGGAGCAATTTGGAGAGGGTCAGAATCTTCTAGCCTCCAGCTGCATGACTCCTAAACCATAATTTCTAATCTTGTGGCTAATATGTTAGTTCTACCAAGGCAGTCTAGTCCCCAGGCAAGAAGGAGGTTTGGTTTGGGAAAGGGCTGTTACTGCCTTTGTTTTAAACTATAAACTATGTACTAAGTTCATCCCAAAGTAAGTTCAGCCTACGCCCAGGATTGAACAAGGACAGCGTGGAGGTTAAAGCAAGATGGAACTGGCTAGGACAGATCTCTTTCACTGTCTCAGCTAGAATTTTGCATCGGTAGTTTCACTACTGATACACAAAATAACTTGGATGAACCTCAGAACGCCAGACATAAATGATCAAGTACTGTATTGTTCCATTTAGGTGACATTTCTAGAAAAGGCAAATCTTTATCAGTGGTTTCCTGGGGGCTGGGGTGGGAGCCAGCAGTAAGGCAAATGGGCATGGGGGAACTTGACATGGGGACAGAGTATTCTAAAACTGGATTGTGGGAGTGGCTGGACAACTGTTTGAATTTACCAAAAATCACCAAACAGTACGCTTAGAGTGCGTACAAATTACGATCTGTAAATTGCACTTCACTGGAGTTTTTTAAATAAAGAAGTTCAAGTTTCAGTCCCTCCCTTACATGTCCTTTGGCATCTGGCACACTTCCTCCTCCGTGAAACCCTGTCCTCAGACCCCTGCTTGTTTCCCCCTACCTTGCTTAGAGTGGGATCCTTGGTCCTCTTCTCCATCTGTCCTGCCCCAGGGTGATGTCACTCTGGTGGGGCCTTTAAATATTGGTACTGGCTGGGCGCGGTGGCTCACGCCTATAACCCCAGCACTTTGGGAGGCCAAAGCAGGCAGACCACCTGAGGTCGGGAGTTTGAGACCTGCCCGACCAACATGGAGAAACCCTGTCTCTACCATAAATACAAAATTAGCTGGGCGTGGTGGTGCATGCCTGTAATCCCAGCTACTCAGGAGGCTGAGGCAGGAGAATCGCTTGAACCCGGGAGGCAGAGGCTGCAGTGAGCTGAGATTGTGCTATTACACTCCAGCCTGGGCAACAAGAGCGAAACTGTCTCAATAAATAAATAAGATAAATAAATATTGGTACTGACCATTGCTTCAGCCTAGACCTCTCTCCTGAACTCCAGACACACCTCCAAATGCCTGCTCAGGTTCTTCTTGGATGTGTAGCGGGCATCCCAAACATGACAGGTCCGCACTGAGCCCCTGCTCTTCCCAACTCAAATCAGTGCCACCCTCAGGTTCCCATGCCAGCTGATGGCACCTTCATCCTTCCCATTGCTCAAGCCAGAAATCTTGTTTTGTTTTTGTTCTTGTTTTTGAGACAGAGTCTCGCTCTGTTGCCCAGGCTGGAGTGCAGTGGCACCATCTCTGCTCACTGCAACCTCTGCCTCCCGGGTTCAAGTGATTCCCCTGCCTCAGCCTCCTTAGTAGCTGGGACTACACGCACACGCCATCATGCCTGGCTAATTTTTGTATTTTTTAGTGGAGACGAGGTTTCACCATGTTGGCCAGGCTGGTCTCAAACTCCTGACCTCAGGTGACCCCCCAGTCTTGGCCTCCCAAAGTGCTGGGATTACAGGCATGAGCCACTACTCCTGGCCCAGAAATCTTTTTTTTGAGACAGAGTCACTGTTTCACCCAGGCTGGAGTGCAACGGTGCTATCTCAGTTCACTGCAACCTCTACCTCCCAGGTTCAAGTGATTCTCCTGTCTCAGCCTCCCGAGTAGCTGGGAATACAGGCATGAGCCATCCCACCCGGCCCAGACCAGAAATATTGAAGTCATCTTCGACTCCTCTTTTTCTCTCCCACTCACATCCAATCCATCAGCAAACTGCAGTTGGTATCTCCTTTAAAATGCACCAAGAATCAGGTCACTTCTCGACACACACATTGCACTCCCATTACTCACAGGGATTGCTGCATAGCCTCCTCCCTAGTTTCCCCACAGTCTTTTTTTTTTTTTTTTGGAAGGAGTCTCGCTCTGTCGCCCAGGCTGGAGTGCAGTGGCACGATCTTGGCTCACTGCAACCTCCACCTCCCGGGTTCAAGCGATTCTCCTGCCTCAGCCTCCAGAGTAGCTGGGACTACAGGCGCCAGCCACCATGCCCAGCTAATTTTTTTGTATTTTTAGTAGAGACGGAGTTTCACCATGTTAGCCAGGATGGTCTTGATCTCCTGACCTCATGATCCACCCACCTCAGCCTCCCAAAGTGCGGGGATAACAGGTGTGAGCCACCGCGCCTGGTTCCCCACAGTCTTGTCACAGCACTATATCCAAAGTTATCGTAAGCTGGCTCAGAACTCCCTCTCATTCCCCCATTTCATTTGGAGGAAAAGCCCAAGCCCTGTGAGGTGCAGTCCCACGTTACCTTTCCGATCTCGGGAGTTCAGTCACTCTGCTCCAGGACCACTGGCCTCCTTGCTCCTTGAACATGCCAGGCACATTCCTGCCTCAGGACCTCAGCACTTGTCATTTCCTCCCCTCCATTACAGGCAGAATGCTAAAGTGGATCCCTGAAATTCTCAGCCCCTGGTATCTTTCTGTGGATTACACAATGATTACCTTTGTGTAATCTTTTCTGGCTTCATGTGGGTAGAACCCATAGCTTTTTTTTTTTTTTTTTGAGACGGACAGAGTCTCACTCTGTCACCCAGGCTGAAGTGCAGTGGCGTGATCTCGGCTCACTGCCACCTCCACCTCCTGGGTTCCTCCACCTCCCGAGTAGATGGGACTAAAGGCTTCCACCACTGCGCCCGGCTAAATTTGTTTGTATTTTTTTTAGTAGAGACGGGGTTTCACCATATTGGCCAGACTGGTCTCGAACTCCTGACCTCAAGTGATCCACCCACCGCTGGCCTCCCAAAGTGCTGGGAGCCAGCGCGCCCAGCCAACCACGCTCCAGCCTGGGCCACGGAGCGTGACTCAGTCTCAAAACAAAAACAAAAACAGGCGTGGCCCACTGTGCCCAGCCAACTTTCTTCTAAACATTAGAAGAAGATGACAAAGGTGATAACCACGACTATACTACGTTATATGGCAAAGGTGAGGGGATTCTGCAGATGTAATGAAGACACCTGATCAATCCGAGTTAAAAGGGTGGTGATCCGTGTGGGTCTGACCTAATCAGGTCAGGTGCCCCTCAGAAAAGGACTCCCTGTGTGCTTAGACTTGAAGCAGCAGAGACTCTCTCTGTTCCTGACCTTGAAGAAGCAGGCCACCACGAGTTTGACAGCTGCAAGGAAATGAATTCTGCTAACAATCACCCGGGCTCTGGAAATGAATGCAGCCTGGCTGACACCCTGATCGTAGCCCCAGAGCAAAAGACCCAGCTAAGCCATGCCTGGCCCAATGTAATAAGCAAATGTTGTTTTAAGCTGCCAAATTGTGGTAGCTTTTGTGTTTTTGTTTTCGTTTTGAGACAGAGTCACGCTCCGTCGCCTAGGCTGGAGTGCAGTGGCATCATCCTAGTTCACTGCAGCCTCGAACTCCTGGGCTCAAGTGATCTTCCTGTCTCAGCCTCCCAAGTAGCTGGGACTGCAGGTGCATGCCAACAAACCCAGCTAATTTTTTAAAAACATTTTATAGAGCCTGGGTCTCCCTATGTTGCCCAGGCTGGTCTCTAATTCCTGGGCTTAAGTGATCCTCTCGCTTCAGACTCCCAAAGTGCTGGGATTACAGGCACAAGCCACCGTGCCTGGCCTGTGGTAATTTGTTACACAGCAACAGAAAACCAATGTCCCCTCAGATATCTGCATGGTTTATTTTCTCTTCTTCACAAAGAAGTCTACACTGACCACCCTCGGTGAAATCGCAACAGGCCTCCCTTTTATCTCTGTAGCACTTACTAATCTACTGCAATATGTATGTTGTTACTGAAGTATGTTTATTGTTTATACTTGTTTCCTAACTAACTGAAATGTGTTTATTGTTTAACATCTCTCTTCCTCCACTAGAATATAAGCCCCATGAGGGCAGAGGTTTTTGTGTTTTGTTGCTGCTGTTTCCAGGCATTTGTAATGGGACCCGGAGCATCTTCAGAAGAGGGGTTGTTGAACAGGTGAAGGGATGCAGCCCATCTGGGGGACATAATACTATGGTAATTTATGCACATGTGTTAGCTTAAGTGAGGTCATCGTGCCCACAGAGCAGGTGAGAGACCTCTCTGGGCCACTGCTGGGTCAGGCCCTTGGACTTCTAGGCCCTGAATGCCAATAAGCTAATCTGGGTGAGAGAGGACTGGCTGCTGATTTGTAATGCAGGTCAGCCTGACCGGCTCCTGGGTGCTGGACAGCTCATGCCAGTGACTCATGCCAGTGACTAGGGTCAGATGAGCTCTGTGACCTGCTTGGCCCCATCAGCCTCTTCACCTTCCTCAACAAGAGGGCAGGAGAGTCTGGAGCTGTCCCGTTCTCTTCTCCCAGGGGTCGGGGACTGGCCCACCAGTGAGGCTGGTCTCTCACAGTGCTTCTCATTTCTTCCATTCTGCCTCAGGTTGGGTTCCCTACAGGTTGGGTTCCCTAGAGAGCAGACGGAGATGGTTTCACAAAGGGGGTTTTTATTACAGAAGGCCCTGGGGACCCACACCTTTGGGAGGGAGGGGTCAAAAATAGGAGTGAGCAGAGGGAGAACTGCTATGCAGACCACAGCTGACCCCATAGGGAGCTCTGGAGCCAAAATGCTCCTTCAGAGTTATCCTGCATTTGGGCCAAAATGGACCAGTCATTGGATGCGGGCCACCTGGGAAGGGTGTGACCCTGAGCCAGGCAGCTCTCTGCAGCTGAAGCAGGCTCTCGAGGAGCTACCCCTGAGGGCCACCTGCAGAGGGCACTCCCAGCAGCTGGGTGGCAGGTGCTTTCACAAAGGGAGAGTTGAGCAGCGCCTTTCCTTTCTTGTTCATGATATCTACCAATACCTCTCCCACTGGGGTAATCCATCTTTTCTTTTAATTATTTTCCTTTTGAGATATATTAAAAATGCAAAAAAAAAAATTTTTATTTTTTTGAGACGGAGTCTCGCTCTATCACCTAGGCTGGAGTGCAGTGGCATGATCTTGGCTCACTGCAACCTCCGCCTCCTGGGTTCAACTGATTCTCCTGCCTCAGCCTCCTGAATAGCTGTGATTACAGGTGCCTACCTCACGCCCAGCTAATTTTTGTATTTTTATATTTTTAGTAGAGATGGGGTTTCACCATGTTGGCCAGGTTGGTCAACCACCACGCCCAGCCAAAAAAAATTTTAATGTCGAAAATGAGAGAAATAGAATTACAAAAGAAACCAATTACAGGGCCAGGCACAGCAGCTCAAGCCTGTAATCCTAGCACTTTGGGAGGCTGAGGCGGGTGGATCACCTGAGGTCAGGAGTTCGAGACCAGCCTGGTCAACATGGTGAAACCCCCGTCTTTACTGAAAATACACAAATTAGCCAGGCGTGGTGGTGCATGTCTGTAATCCAAGCTACTTGGGAGGCTGAGACAGGAGAATCGCTTGAAACCAGGAGGTGGAGGTTGCAGTGAGCCAAGATGGCGCCCGCCATTGCACTCCAGCCTGGGCGACAGAGCGAGACTCCGTCTCAAGAAAAAAATATATATATTTATATTCAGATATCAAAATGTTAAAACACTTTTTTTTTTTTTGAGACAGGGTCTCGCTCTCGCTCTGTCACTCTGGCTGGAGTGCAGTGGTACGATCACAGCTCACTGCAGTCTTGAATTCCCAGGCTTAAGCGGTACTCCTGCCTCAGCCTCCCAAGCAGCTGAGACTACAGGAGCACACCAACACGCCCAGCTAATTTTTGTATTTTTTGTAGAGTTGGGGGTTCTCGCTATGTTGCCTAGGCTGGTCTTGAACTTCTGGTCTCAAGTGATCTGCCCACCTCAGACTCCCAAAGTATTGGGATTGCAGGCGTGAGCCACAGCGCCCAGCCAAAACACATTTTGATGGTGTCATAAACGTGCTTCTTTAACCATTAGATAGCAAGATCTGGTCGTGGCCCAATAACTGTGATAATTTTGAAGATATAATGAATCTAAACAGTATATAGAGGCATTTGTGACAGCTGTGATAGGAAGTTATCTTCTATTTTGATTTGTGACAAAGCCACAGGTATTGCTAATTCTGCTGTGGTTTGTTGCCTAATTTATAGTGAAAGGAAAGGTGGAATATCAGTTACAGATTAGAGACAGATGTGATCTCTTCCTATCCAAGTTTCAGGTGCAGGGAAGTGGGTGTTGCTGTGTGGTGAGGGTGAAGAGGTTTTCTGGAAATTTGGGTTTAGGAAGAGGAAATGTTCCTAAAAGAGGGGACAATGATCCACATGCGTGGTGGGCCAAGAGGGTGGGCGGATCCTGCCAGAGCCTCCTCCCACCTGGAGGGGTCCCAGCGTCCACCTTCCCTGCCCCAGCCCCCCTCCTCGAGGTACTGGGAGGCTGGATAAAGTCTTCGGCTGGGCCACACCCCACCCCAAATTCTCCCTGTCCCACCCTAGTGGCCCAGGCCACCCCGGCCTGCTCCCTTCCGCAAGGCACCTCACCTTCTGTGCCCAGACCATTAGCCAACGCGGTGACCTTGACCCCGGCCCAGGCCCTGCTAATGAAGAGGAAAGCCCGTACGCACTCGGCCTGACCCACGGCGACCCTCTGTGACCAATCATACTACCAACCTCTTAAACAGAGCTCCACCGACGCAATGCCCAGGCATAAAAAGGCCAGGCCGGAGAGACCGCCACCAGTCACGGACCCTGGACCCAGCGCACCCGCACCATGGCCGGCCCCAGCCTCGCTTGCTGTCTGCTCGGCCTCCTGGCGCTGACCTCCGCCTGCTACATCCAGAACTGCCCCCTGGGAGGCAAGAGGGCCGCGCCGGACCTCGACGTGCGCAAGGTGAGTCCCCAGCCCTGGTCCCGCGGCGCTCCGGGGAGGGAGGGACCCGCAGCCACAGGGGCGCGCCCCGCTCCGGCCTCGCCTGAGAACTCCAGGAGCTGAGCGGATTTTGACGCCCCGCCCTTGACCGCGGTCGAGGCCCCCACGGCGCCCCAGCGCGTCTCAGCCCCGCTGTCCCGCCCGAACTCCGAACCCCGGACCCCAGCATCCTTGCCCGGCGCACCCCGGCCGGCCTCGCAGGGTCCTCCGAGCGAGTCCCCAGCGCCGCCCCGGCTCCCGCTCACCCCGCCCGTCCCCGCAGTGCCTCCCCTGCGGCCCCGGGGGCAAAGGCCGCTGCTTCGGGCCCAATATCTGCTGCGCGGAAGAGCTGGGCTGCTTCGTGGGCACCGCCGAAGCGCTGCGCTGCCAGGAGGAGAACTACCTGCCGTCGCCCTGCCAGTCCGGCCAGAAGGCGTGCGGGAGCGGGGGCCGCTGCGCGGTCTTGGGCCTCTGCTGCAGCCCGGGTGAGCGGGGCAAGGCGCTCCGGGGCCAGGGGGAGGCGGGCGGGGGTGCGGCCGGGATTCCCCTGACTCCACCTCTTCCTCCAGACGGCTGCCACGCCGACCCTGCCTGCGACGCGGAAGCCACCTTCTCCCAGCGCTGAAACTTGATGGCTCCGAACACCCTCGAAGCGCGCCACTCGCTTCCCCCATAGCCACCCCAGAAATGGTGAAAATAAAATAAAGCAGGTTTTTCTCCTCTACCTTGACTCGTGTCTAAGTGCCAGAAATGGGACGGGGAGGGGGCATTGTGGGACTGGAAGATCGCGCGCGTTGGACCTGTGGCTTGTTGCGCTCAGAGCTGGCCCAGGAAGACGTGTCCCGGCTACCCGAGGGGACAGAGCGGGTGCTGTTCTGGCTGCCACCACCCTGGAGGGGCTGGAAGAGGGAGGGGCACAAAGGCTCTGAGGACGTGGAAACAGCCCCAGCTTCCCGCTCCCAGCCTGGGCTGAGGCCTACAGCAGGCTGCACCTCAGGGGATCTTTCAAAATTCAAAAAGACGAGGATGAGGGAGCAAATACAGACAAGGGTCTGAGCGGGATGACCACAGGAAGCGGGCAGTGCACACTGAATGGCTTCCTGACCCCTGAAAGGAGGTTTGAGCCACACTTAGAAGTTGAGGGAGCGGAGCGGGCCTGGGGGGAGGGGGCCCTGGGGAGCAGCTGAAGGGCCAACATGTTTCCAAGGAGCTGGCCCCCAGGAGGCCACTGGCACGCTCAGAAGAGGAGCCCAAGCTGCCGGGACTGGGCTTGAATGCCAGCATGACCGTCCCTGGTGTCCCCAGGGCTGGGTCTGACCCAGCAGCTCTACTCCTGCCTGTGCAATAAAACATGTCAGGGCTGGGGACCCCACAAGCGGACAGGGGATCTTGAGAGCCCAGGGCCACAGAAATGACATGAACAAAGAGAAGCTCTTAACCTCTATCTCCTATCGGTGAAGCAAAAGTATCTGAGACAGGTCTCAAACAACTTAATCTTTTTTTTTTTTGAGATCGAGTTTCGCTCTTGTTGCCCAGGCTGGAGTACAATGATGCAATCTCACCTCACTGCAACCTCTGCCTCCCGGGTTCAAGCGATTCACCTGCCTCAGCCTCCTGAGTGGCTGGGACTACAGGCACCCAACACCACATCTTGCTAATTTTTGTATTTTCAGTAGAGATGGGGTTTCACCACGTAGACCAGGCTGGTCTCAAACTCCTGATGTCAGGTGATCCACCCACCTCGGCCTCCCAAAGTGCTGGGATGATAGGTGTGAGCCACCGTGCCCAGTCAACGTTTCAATCAATTTAGAAAGCTGATTAAGGGCCAGGCACAGTGGCTCATGCCTGTAATCCTAGCACTTTGGGAGGCCTAGGCAGTTTGATGACCTGAGGTCAGGAGATCGAGACCAGCCTGGCCAACATGGCGAAACCCCGACTCTACTGAAAATACAAAAATTAGCCGGGGGTGGTGGCAGGTGCCTATAATCCCAGCTACTTGGGAGGCTGAGGCAGAAAAATCATTTGAACCTAGCGGTGGCAGAGGTTGCAGTGAACCGAGATCATGCCACTTCACTCCGTCCTGGGCAAAAGAGCGAAACTCCATCGCAAAAAGAAAGAATGAAAGAAAGCTGATTAAGGACACTCCTCAGGAGGTCCCCTGAGGACATGTGTCCAAGCCTGGTTTTTTGTTTGAGATGGAGTCTCGCTCTCTGGCTCTGTCGCCCAGGCTGGAGTGCAATAGCATAATCTTGGCTCACTGCAACCTCTGCCTCCCGGGTTCAAGCAATTCTCCTGCCTTAGCCTCCTGAGTAGCTAGGATTACAGGTGCACATCACCACGCTCAGCTAATTTTTGTATTTTTAGTAGAGACGGGGTTTCACCATGTTGGTCAAGCTGGTCTCGAACTCCTGACTTCATGATCTGCCCGCTTAGGCCTCCCAAAGTGCTGGGATTATAGGCATGAGCCACCGCGCCCGGCCTGGTTTTATACATTTTAGGGAGACATGAGACATTGATTAATACATGTGAGATGAACATTGGTTTGCTCTGGAAAGGCAGGACAACTCGAAGGGGGGTTGTGGGGGTCCCAGGTCTTAGGTGGATAAGAGACAAAAGGTTGCCTTCTTTTGAATCTTTGTTCAGCCTTTCACTGAAAACACAATTTACATGTGAGAGTGGGGTAGAGGAATAGTCGACTTATGCCTCAGTCTGGCTCAGTGAATCTGCATTTTTACATAAACAATACGGCAGAAGGAGAAATCAGGTATGCATTTGTCTCAGGTGAGCAGAGGGATGACTTTGAGTTCTAGCCTTTGTCCCGCACCTGTGAAGATAAGCTATCAATTTACATTGCCAGGGTGAATTGAGGCTCACAGGCAATTTCCCTGTGGGTAAATTGTGAAGGAAGTATGTAGCTCTTTGTAGTTTCTTAATGAAGGAATAAAATAGGAGGCAGCTTTGCCTGACTCAGTTCCCAGTTTGACTTTTCCCTTTGACTTAGTGACTTTGGGGTCTTGCGATTTGAAATTTATTAATTTTCCTTTCCCACATCTATCCCTGCATCTAGACCCTGAGAATCAGATAAAAGCCTAGTCCCCAGAACACGCCCCCATCCCCCTGCCCATGTCACTGGGCAGTGCACTTCAGAAAGCCCACGCCCACTCTCTCACTCCGAAGAAAACAGGAACAGGCCATTCCTGTGGCTTCCTCACACTCAGGAGCAACAGGGCGGGGCAGGGAGAATGAACCCACAGGTGCAAGACTGAAAAAATATACTGAAGAGCACCGTAAGATTTCCTTCACAGGTGGTACAAAACAGGCCAAAAACCTATATGGGCCTCGAGGTTTGGGTGGGCAGTGGCTGGAAAAGGTGTCAGGGGCTTCCTGGGTGCTGCCCAGATTCTCTTTCTTGGCCTGGGAGCTGGTGAAACAGGTGTGCTCAGTTTATGAAAATGCATTAAACTGTATACATGGGATTGGTTCACTTTTGTTTGTAATTAAACAGTTGGCCCTTTCTGTCCGTGAGATGTACACCAGTGGAATCAACCAATCTGGGATTGTAAATTTATGAAAAAAAAAAGTCTCTGTACTGAGCATGTCCAGATATTTTTGTCTTCTCATTATTCCCTCAACAATGCAGTATAACAACAATTGACATGACATTTACATTGTATTAGTTTTGTGTTTGTTTGTTTTTGAGACGGAGTCTCGTTCTGTCGTCTGTGCTGGAGTGCAATGGCGCAATCTCAGCTCACTGCAATCTCTGCCTCCTAGGTTCAAGCAATTCTCCTGCCTAAGCCTCCCAAGTAGCTGGGATTACAGGTGCCCCCCACCACGACCAGCTAATTTTTTTGTATTTTTAGTAAAGATGGGTTTTCACCATGTTGGTCAGGCTGGTCTTGAACCCGACTAGAGTGGATGATCTGGCACCTCGACCTCCCAAAGTGCTGGGATTACAGACATGAGCCACTGCACCCAGCCACAGTGAGGCTTTTGAAAGCCCCAGTGGCCTACGGCACAGTGGAATGGTTTTTGCTGGAGCTGTGAGGGGACACCCCTCTTTTGACCTCACATCTTGGGGTAAGGAAGAGGGGGGATTTGTTATGCAAAGGAACAAGAGATTGACTCAAAGCGGAGAACGTGGACTTCTTTTCAAATTGTTCAGAACTATTTGATACACAGAAAGGGGTATTTGAGGAAAGTGGTCAAAGTTCTGTGGCCCCTCAGAAACCACCTGGAGAGAGAGGGGAGCATCTGCCCACAGAGCACCTGAGGGACCCCCCCACCTCCACTCGTATGGGCACGATCCTGCGGATTTGTGCTTTCCAAGCTGCCTGTCCACCTGCCACATTTGTGGGACGTCTGGGCCTCCCACTGGGACCTCACTCCTTCCTCTGAGTGCCGCACATTCTCTCCCACCCCAGTGGCTCTGATACAGAGCAGAGGGGTGTCCGCCCAGCTTTCCCCACCTTGGGAGAGACTTCAGGGTCCCCTCACCCCCTTAGGCACCCGCCCACTGGGCCATTCTTTCCCTGGGATCCAATGCCCGCAGTGTTTTCTTTTGCAGCCTTAAAACACAGAGGGCTGGCTGGGCAAGGTGGCTCATGCCTGTAATCCCAGCACTTTGGGAGGCTGAGCGGGGGGGATGGATCACATAAGGTCAGGAGTTCAAGACCAGCCTGGCCATAATGGCGAAACCCTGTCTCTACTAAAAAAAATACAAAAATTAGCCGGGCGTGGTGGTGTGCACCTGTAGTCCCAGCTACTCAGGAGAATTATTGCTTGAATTGCCTGAACCCACGAGGTGGAGATTGCAATGAGCCAAGATCACACCACTGCATTCCAGTCCGGGCAACAGAAGAAGACCCCATCTCTAAAATAATAATAATAAAGATAGTATTCTGGCCTCCATAGCCATATTCTTTTGTTTTATTTTTCAATTGTTTCAGAACTTGAGGGTTATAGTTAGTTAAGGTAAGGTTAGGCTGCTATAATAAAAACATCCAAATGGTAAAGAGACACTGTGGGCTTAAGGAAGATAGGTGTTTATTTCCCTCTCTTTTCTATCAGCCTGACACGAACTTTCCTGGTTCTGTTCCACCCTGCCATTTAGGACCCAGTTTTCTTCCATCGTACAGTTACGTCATCCCCTAGGCCTTGTCACTGCCTGCATGCTTCAGGCTGGAGGGCTGTGGATGCCACCTGGTGGAAAGAGAAAGAGTATGGAAGGGAAGAGGTGCACCCACTGTCTTAAAATTTCAAGTGCCGGCCAGGCGCAGTGGCTCACACCTGTAATCCCAGATACTTGGGAGGCTGAGGCAGGAGAATCACTGGAACCCCAGAGGCACAGGTTGCAGTGAGCCTAGATTGTGCCATTACACTCCAGCCTGGGCGACAAGAGTGAGACTCTGTCTCAAAGAAAAAAAAAGATTTCAAGTGCCACTTTTCCTTTTACTCAGGTTTTAGTGACAAAAGCATGGTCATGTGGCCTACTTTACTGCAAAGGAGGCGGGGAAATATAGCTAAGATTTCTTTTTTTTTTTTTTTTTTTTTTTTTGAGACAGAGTCTCACTCTGTCACCCAGGCTGGAGTGCAGTGGCGCGATCTTGGCTCACTGCAACCTCTGCCTCCGGGGTTCAAGCAATTCTGGTGCCTCAGCCTCCCGAGTAGCTGGGACTACAGGCACGTAGCTGGAACTACAGGCACGTAGCTGGGACTACAGGCAGGCGACACCACGCCTGGCTAATTTTTTTGTATTTTTAGTAGAGACAGAGTTTCGCCATGTTGGCCAGGCTGGTCTTGAATTTCTGACTTCAGGTGATCCGCCCACCTTGGCCTCCCAAAATGCTGGGATTACAGGAGTGAGCCACTGCGCCCAGCAACAATTTCATGACCCTGAAAGAAGCTGTGGTAGATAGCAAAAACATTACCGCAATTCTCCACCCCTCCCTGTAGCCACATCCACAATATGACTTTGCAATTTCTCCCATCACGAGAAGTCTATTTCTCTACTCCTTGAATCAGTTCTCATCCACCTACTTTGAAATGTCTCCATGGTGGTTTGTCACATTGTGGCCAATGGAATACAGCAGAAGTAATGAATGGCAGATCTAAGCTGAGCCTAGACCCCAAGAAGTCTTGTACACCTTGTTTGTTCTTTTGCTCCTCTGTCTCACCACAAGAACAAGCTCAGGCTAGCTACTCTACAGGAGGATGAGAGACCATGTGGAGCAGAGTCAGACCTCAGCTGAGCTATCAGCTGCTAACAGATGTACGACTAAGTTCAGTCAAGACCAGTCAAATCCAGCCAGCTTCCCCAGAACCATTCAGACAACCCATAGAGTGATGGGAAATAATAATTGGTGTGTTTAAGCCACCTCATTTTGGGAGCAGTTTGTTATCCAGCGTAACTGTGGCAATAGATACATGATATGGAGGGAGAAGAGATTTTGATGAACAACTAGCATTCTCAGCCAGAGTATTAGGTAACTGGATACTCTGAACTCCTAGCAATGACAGTGTTTATCTTCTTTTGAGAATTATATGAACAAATTTCCCATTGTTGAGCCATCTTTCCATTCATTAAGAAATCCTATTTGCTTATGATGTACTCTTCAATTTAGTCTTCTGCAGTTTATTTACTAATATTATTTTTTGGATGTTTGAACCTAAGTCATAAATTAGACTGTTACATACCTTTTCTCTGGGCTATAATTTTATATCAGTTAGGACTGAACTTATTATTAGGTTGGTGCAACATAATAGGTTTTTGCCATTACTTTTCCACCTACCTATAGTAAGTAACAGAAAACCCAGCAGATAGCACCGTGAATGAACAGTTTGTTCATGCAACTTTCAGGCTAGAGAGCAGCATTTTAGGACTAGTAGTATAACCATTCCACAGTGCCTTCACAACCCAACCTGCTCTGCCTCCCTGCTGTGTCAGCCTTAGTGTACACCTTTCGTCCTCATGTCACAAAACTATTACTTGTTCTTTTTTTGTTGTTGTTGTTGTTGAGGCAGAGTCTCGCTCTGTCACCCAGGTTGGAGGGCAGTGGCGCCATCTCTGCTCACTGCATGTTCTGCCTCCTGGGTTCACGCCATTCTCCTGCCTCAGCCTCCCGAGTAGCTGGGACTACAGGCGCCCGCCACCACGCCCGGCTAATTTTTTTTGTACTTTTAGTAGAGACGGGGTTTCACCATGTTAGCCAGGATGGTCTTGATCTCCTGACCTCATGATCCACCCACCTCAGCCTCCCAAAGTGCTGGGATTACAGGCGTGAGCCACCGCGCCCAGCCTCCTATTACTTGTTCTTTGAGCATTATGCCTGACCCAGGCAAGATGAAAGCAGAAGGGTCAATCATTTCTCCTTTAATATTAAGGTAGGATTTTGCTTTTGCTTCTGTCCACAGAGTAACTGGTAACTGACTAGGCCTCCCACCATAAGCAGTTGCAAAACTGGATAAAATATATAAAGCAACTATTTTCAGGCACGATAGACAGAAGGAAATTCGGTAGGTGAATCCCATGATTACGCCAGGATTCTGCTGGGAACAATGTCCTGGCCACGATGCAACAAGACAGAGTGTGAGCAGAGCATGGCTGTCACACTGACCGGGGAGGCATGGAAAGAAGTTGCAAAAATCCTCAGTGAAAAAAAAGAAAGAAATTACTATCTATGTAGAAAATCTCAAAGAATCTTCAAAAAAGCTATTAGATCTAATAAGTACATTTAGCAAGATCACAGGGTACAAAGTCAACAATAATTCATAATTCTATATACTAACAATAACTACTTGGAAATTAAATTTTAAAACACAGTACTATTTAAAATAGTGTGAAAAATATGAAATCTTTTGGGTAGAAATCTTACATAATATATACAAATTCTATATGCTGAACTAATAAAATGCTGATGGAAGAAATAGAAGACCTGAATAACTGGAGAGATATATTTGTTTATTGATTTGGAAGACTCATCAGAGTAAAGATGTCAGTTCTCCCCAAATTGATTGAAAGATCCAACACAATTCTAATTAAACTCCCAATAGGATTTTTTTGTAGAAATCATTAAGTTGATTCTAAAATTTATACAGAATGACAAAGGAACTAGAATAGCCAAAACAATTTTGAAAAAGAACAAAGTTGGAAAAGCCACACAACCTGATAAAGTTATCATATTCAAAATAGTATAATATTATAGAAAGGATAGATCTAGGCCAGGTGCGGTGGCTCACGCCTGTAATCCCAGCACTTTGGGAGGCCGAGGCAGGCAGATCACCTGAGATCAGGAGTTCGAAACCAGCCTGGACAACACGGCTGTTGAGATCACGCCACTGCACTCCAGACTGTGCAACAGAGTGAGACTCTGTCTAAAAAAAAAAAAAAAAAGATCACTGGAACAGATTGGAGAGTTCAGAAATAGATTCACATATATATGGCACTATCTCAGCTCACTGCAACCTCCGCCTCCCGGGATCAAGCAATTCTCCTGTCTCAGCCTCCCGAGTAGCTGGGACTACAGGTGCACACCACCATGCCCAGCTACTTTTTGTATTTTTAGTAGACACAGGTTTTCAAACTCCTGACCTCAGCCAATCCTCCTGCCTCAGCCTCCCAAAGTGCTGGAATTACAGGCATGAACCACCACACCTGGCCAAGAAGTTCTTTAACAAGAGACACTGCTGTGTCCTTAATGTAGATGCTGAAAAATAAATAAATAAAAATAAAAATTAAAAAGAGATTGCCGATGTTACCATTTTTATGAAACAGCAGATGTGGAGGCTTGGACACTGCTTTGCCCCTTGTGGTGGGTTTGCCGCAGCCCATTTGCCCTGTAGAGACTGAGCAGACAAGGGCAGACCTCTCCTTGCTAAATGGCTCTGTAGCTGGGCCAGGGGACTCAAGGAGAGGGAGAAAGAGTGAAAGACTGTACAGGGAGGTGGACATTTGGGCAAATTGGGGGTGGGCAGACATTCGTCACCCCTTCCAAGAAATAGTAGCCTGATTGTTTTGACAAAGACAAGTGGAGGGAAAGGAGTCTCTGAATCTGTATTTAGGAAGAGGAAGTTCCTGGACCTCATTCTAAAACTGTCCCCAAGTCCAGACACTAACACTTTGGATTGAATTCAGTGCAGCCAAGCCACCTGCCTCTTCCTATTTCCCAGTCTGGAAGAGTTAATAAATTCCTATTAGGTTTGGTCCTGCTCTAGCCCCAGCCAGATGGGGGATGGCCCTGAGTGGACAACATGAAACAGGAGCAGGAGGTCATGGCAGTGACCCAAGCCTGCATGGTCCCTGTCCCCACTGGCTAGACCCAGTCGTGCCGGGCACTGCCTGGCAGAGGAGCCCAGAACCAGGTCAGGGGTGAGAGCCAAGGGGAGCCCTGGGAGTGTGGAAGAGAGCCTGACCTTGACATGTGCCTGGACTCTGCCCAGGGCTGCTGAGGCTGGGCTGCTTGAGTCACCAGGCTTGGCCGTAAGCCTGGGCATTGGGGTCAGGGCCCAGGCGGACTTCCCTCCTCCTGCACTCCCTCCTGACCTCAGAGTTTGCGGAGGATCCCGAAGGAGATGCAGCCTCTTGTGGCTCCAAGACCTGGAGCAGGAAGCCCAAGGAGAGGATGCAGAGAAAAGAGGAGGCCAAGAGAGAGAAGGATGGGAGGTGGCAGAGGGGGTGAGGGGACAGAAGGGGAGGGGTGGAGGGGCCAAGGAGAGAGGCAAGAGGGGGCCCAGGAGCTGGCAGAACAGGGAGGCGAGAGCAGAGTGAGAGACAAAGGAGAGAAAGGGGCAGATGGGACCAGAAAGGCCTCAGGTTCAAGAAGGGGGTGAGAGAACCCAAGGGATGCAGAGGAAGAGGCCGAGCACTGCTGGACGTCTTTTCGCCAAAGGGGCTCATGTCAAAGGGCGGAAGGTCTTCATGTCTGGGAGCTAATGTGAGTGCACTCCTGCTTGTGTGAGCCTGTACATACATGCTCCTGCCCATCCTCGTGTCGGCTGTGTCTGTGTTTCTCTGGGTGTCTGTGGCTCTGAATGTGGGGCTCAGGGTCTCTGTGGTTGTGGTCAAGGGTTGCGGACACGTTCTTAGCAGTTATTTTCTTGTCTGTTTCTGTCCAAGCGTGCTTGGGGTTGTGTGGGGCTGTATCTGTTAGGGGTCCCCCACTCTGGCTGAGGGGCCCTAATGGTGGGTGCACTGGACAGACAGTGATGTCCCCACCGCCACTACACACGAGCACTGCCTTGGGTGAATCAGACATTGCACTGGGAATCCCGGGACCAGGGTGGGTCCCTGAGCGGTTTGTGTTTCAGTCTCCTGGGATGAAAATGGGGACAGAATGGTCACCCCTCGGCCTGTCCCCTCTGCCTCTCTCACTCTTCTCTCCGTCACTGTCAATGTCTCTGCATCTCTCTCCAACATTCTGCTGTCTCTGTCTCTGGGTCTCTTGCTGTCTTGTCCTCCAGGCCTTTCCCTCTCTGCCTTTACTTCTTTCCCTCTGCCGGAGGATCCTCAACCCACCCCCTCCAAGGCCACTCTCGGCCTCTGGTCTCCCCCTCCCCTGCCTCCCAATTCGCCCTGTCCCTCGGTCTAGCGACACCTCTGCGGGTCCCAGATCGCTTCCTCTACGGGACCTGTTGCTTCTCTGGGGTGGATCTGCCCACGACCTCAGGTCCGGGGACTGGCCGGTGGGCGTGGTGGCGGGGGTCCGCGCTCCCACCTCTCTCCCTTTCCCTCTTCCCGCCAGAGACTGAGACAGACGCGAGGCCGTGCATTGGCGGAGGTTTATTGTCCGTGCTGCAGGGGCGGGCGCGAAGAGCGCGCCGGTGGGGCGAGCGCGGGGCTCAGTAGGCGTCGGGCTGGGCGGGCTCGAAGGGCTCGGGCGCCCCGGCCAGCTGCACCAGCCGCAGCAGCAAGGCCCCGGCCGGCCCGTCCAGCTGCGTGGCGTTGCTCCGGTCGCTGGCGCGGGCGCGGCGGTGAAAGCCCTCGCGGCACTCGGGCTCGGTCACGCAGCTCTCTGCCGGGAGGACGTGTGAGCACGGGCGCCCTGGGGCGGGCGCAGCTCGGGGTGCGGGGGGCCCACACCCTCCCTGCCGGGCCCGACGCAGCCCCCACCCCGCCGCAGGCCCGCGTCCCCCCCACCCAAGCGGTCTGCGCCCCCCCCAGCCCCAGGCCCGCCCCCGCCGCGCACCGTCGTTGCAGCAAACGCCGAAGGCGGCGCAGCGGCCCCCGCTCCCGCACGCCTTCTGGCCGGACTGGCAGGGCGACGGCAGGTAGTTCTCCTCCTGGCAGCGCAGCGCCTCAGCCGTGCCCACGAAGCAGCCCAGCTCGTCCGCGCAGCAGATGCTGGGCCCGAAGCAGCGGCCTTTGCCCCCGGGGCCGCAGGGGAGGCACTGCGGGGACGGGCGGGGTGAGCGGGAGGAGGGGAGCCGGGAGTCGAGGGGTTGGAGGGGAACGCAGCGAGGCGGGGATGCTGGGGTCCAGGGCTCGGAGTGCGGGCGGGACACCGGGGCTGCGGCTGCAGGCACGCTCGGGCGCCACTGGGCCTCGACCGCGGTCACGGGCGGGGCGTCCAGATCTGCTCGGCACCTTGGTTTCTTGGATGACCTCTCGGTGACAGCCCTCAGCGTCCTCACCCTCAGCTAGGGACGGGTCTCCCGTGGACTACAGCGTGGGGAACCCTTCCTCGAGCCTCGGGGTCATCGCTGGTGGGCGCCACTGTTGCAGCTGCCCCACCCTCCACCACTCCAGACCCTTCCTCCTTCCTCCTCGCCCTGCTGCGGCTTGAGCCCGGGCCCACCCCCTTCCCCACTACACCATGCGGAGAGGCCCTACCCATCCAGAACCCCGGCCCTTCCCATTTCCTGTCTCCTCTCTTGCCTTGCCCCTGGCCCCCGCCAAGCTTGTCGGCCTCAGCTGGAGCCCTGACCCCTGCTCAGCCACCTATGACCTATCAGGTGGGTGGCAGGGGCCTGAGACCTAGAGGCGAGCACGGACACCCAGGTGCCTCAGGACCCTAAAGGAGCCTAGCAGGAGGAAGAGAGGCTGCGGGGGTTGCCGAGCGGCCACTCTCATCTGCTCAACAGCCGGTTCTCTGGCGCAATGGATAGCGCATTAGACTTTTAGCTGAGCCTGGTGTGGTCTAATTTGCTCAAGGGCTCATCATTGAGCCTGGACAGAATTGCATGCACATCGTGATTGGATTTCCTTCAGCTCTGCTGGAAATGGAGGAAACGTCCAGCACTATAGAATTAGGCCAGGTTCCCAGCAGAACTTCCCCACAGGATGCCCCACTCAAGCGCGCTCAGACCAGTGGCCATCTTCTGTGTGGGGGCCTGGGCGCCTGTGGCTGGGAGGCTGGGGCTGGATGAGGAAAGCCTCCAATGCTAGGTAGGATGGAGCCTCTGCTGCCCCAGCCAGTCCAGATGCAAGAACGCCATGGGCACAGGGGAGGCCATGATGCCCCGTTCTCCCTATCCAGCCCCAAGCCCAGTCACCGGGGAAGCATCCCTCATTTCCCTGCATCCCTGTCTGGATGGCGACAGTGACCAGGAGCGCCTTCAGCCTCTCCCAGCCTCCTCCAAAGCCTGGTCCCCTCTGGCCCACCCCATTGGCTCCTCTGCCCAGCCATGCCATGCCTCCCTCTTCCTCCCCCGAACTTCCCCTAAAGGCTACCACCACCCATGACTTCCCTCTTTCCTAGCCCCTGACCCAGGGTGTCAGCACTGCCCGCTATGGCAGCCCTGAGATGGCCCACAGTGGGAAGTACCTGTCTCAGCTCCAGGTCGGACATGGCCCTCTTGCCGCCCCTCGGGCAGTTCTGGAAGTAGCACGCGGAGGAGAAGGCCAGTAGGCCGAGGAAGCAGGCGGGCAGCATGGTGTCAGGCATCCTGGTGCACACAGGTGGACCCCGTATGCAGCACTGCTTGGTGGCTCTGTGCTGCTGCCTCTGCTGGCTGCCTATTTATGTCCGCAGGTGTTCCCGTGGAGGCGAGACGCGGCCGCCACCCCCTCCCCAGTGGCTCCCCAGGAGCCCACGGCCGCCAGGTCCCCAGCCGTCAGCAGTGATTCAGGCATCTGGGGACACACGTGGGCCTGTCTGTGCAGGGGATCATAGGGGAGGGGTACGGGCCGCCAGGCTGTCATGGGCCGCGGAATGACAGCAATTGCCTCTACTGTGACTGCAGCGCTCTGGATTCAGGGAGAGGGACAGACTGGGGGGTCACCTGGAGACCATCTCTGAGCTTTCTGATTACCCAGAAATGGCGTAGGGTCCAAGAAGAGGGTAAGAGGAACCGAGGGGCTGCGTGTTAGGGGCAGGGACAGGCCCTGGCCTAGGAGCTGTGGGGCAGGGGACAGCCAGGTGTGTGGGGAGGGTTAGCCCTGTGACAACAAGATAAGGGACCAAGAACAGCACAAGCCCAGAGTGGTGAGGACAGGGGCTGCACCAGAGATGAGAATCCCTGCCTCGTGGACAAGGCAGCCGCCGTCGTGGAGTCAAGGGACACAGAATGAGAGGGGCTTGTTCTCACAGGGTAGGGGGGTGGCAGGTTGCTGGGGAAAGTGCAAGACATGACACCCCCGCACCCCCATAGAGCAGGGCATGGGGACTCAGGCCCTGAAACTGGGGGCCTTGGGGACACATTGGCACATGACCCGTCACCCCCTCCCAGGTAGAAACATGAGTGTGGAGAGCTACTATGGGGAGAAAGAACTCCATGCCAAGTAAGGTTCAAAGGCGGGGGGAGCCCCAGGAAACCTGACAACAGTTTGTCCCAATTCCTACCCCCACCAGGACCTTAGTATGTGGCAACCAGGGCAGGTACATCTCAGGCCTGGGGTGGGAGAGCCGGGGGTGGGGGGTGTCTGGGCCTGGGGGAAGGTGCAGGAGGAGCCATACCTAAATGGACCCAGCCTGAGAAAGCCACTTTTGGTCCCTAATCCCAAGGTGGCAGGTCTAAAGAGGACATGGCCTCTCTCCCTGGGCCACCAGAATGCCCCGCTGGTCTGGGGTTCAGGCCCGGTACCCCCTGCCTCTCAAGCTGTGCGCAGTCCCCAGCTCTCGCAGTTCCCACAGGCTCTTGGCCTCCTCTCCAGGGTGCATAGAGGTGCTGCGAGGAAATTCCAGGGGACACAGCAGCCCCATCTCCAGCAAGGGCAGTGAGGGGGCCAGCAACCCAGGAGGGGCCTCCTATACTCAGGCCATGGCGTCGGTCTTTTCAGGAATGACCCCTCAGGGACTGCAAGGACCCTTTGAGAGGCAACACTGGGCAGTTGTTATTGCAGGAACACTGGCTCCCAATAGCTTGGCTCAGGGTCTGGCCTCTGTTGCTCGACACTTCATGGCTTGGGCAGCTCACTGGACTTCTCTGTGCCTTACTTTCTGCCAGTGTGAAGTAAGGAAAATCATGGTACCCACCTCCTAGGGTCAATGTGAGGACAGAAATAAATAATTTATTATACAAAAGCTTTAGAGCCAGGCATGGCAGCTTATGCCTGTAATCCCAGCTACTTGGGAGACCCAGACAGGAGGTTGAGACCAGTCTCGGCAACATAGCAAGACCCCATCTCTATTTTTTTTTTTTTTTTTTGAGACAGAGTCTCACTCTGTCAACCCAGGCTGGAGTGCAGTGGCACAATCTCGGCTCAGTACAACCTCCACCTCCCGGGTTCAAGCGATCCTCCTGCCTTAGCCTCCCAAGTAGCTGGGATTACAGGCACGCGTCACCACGCCAGGTTAATTTTTGTATTTTTAGTAGAAATGGGGTTTCACCATATTGGCCAGTCTGGTCTTGAACTCCTGGCTTCAAGTGATCCACCCGCCTCGGCCTCCCAAAGTGCTGGGATTACAGGCATGAGCCACCGTGCTCGGCCCCATCTCTAATTTTAAATAAATAAATAAATACTTTTTTTTTGAGACAGAGTCCCGTTCTGTCACCCAGACTGGAGTGCAGTGGCGTGATCTCAGCTCACTGCAGCTTCCAACTCCGGGGTTCAAGTGATTCTCTTGCCTCGGCCTCCCAAGTAGCTGGGATTACAGGCGCCTACCACCACGCCTGGCTAATTTTTTTGTATTTTTACTAAAGATGGGGTTTTGCCATGTTGGCCAGGCTGGTCTTGAACCTGACCTTGTGATCCTCCTGCCTTGGCCTCCCAAAGTGCTGGGATTACAAGTGTGAGCCGCCGCGCCCGGCCTATAAATACATTTTAAATTGAAAAAAAAAAACAACAGCTTTAAGGCTGGGCACGGTGGCTCACACCTGTAATCCCAGCACTTTGAGAGGCAAAGGCAGAAGGATCACTTGAGCCCAGGAGTTCGAGACCAGCCTGGACAACATAGACCTTATCACTACAGATAATTTAAAAATTGGGCAGGTGTGGTGGTGCATGCCTGTGGTCCCAGCTACTCGGGAGGCTGAGGTGGAAGAATTGCTTGAGCCCAGGCTGCAGTGAGCCATACCTGAGCCACTGCACTCCAGCTTGGGTGAGAGTGAGACACTGTTTCAAAAGAAAAAGTAGCTTTAGAAAAGTGCCTGCATGTGGCCAGGTGCGGTGGCTCATGCCTGTAATCCCAGCACTTTGGGAGGCCGAGGCAGGCGGATCATGAGGTCAGGAGATCTAGACCATCCTGGCTAACATGGTGAAACCCCGTCTCTACTAAAAATCCAAAAAAAAAAAAAAATTAGCCGGGTGTGATGGCGGGCGCCTGTAGTCCCAGCTACTCAGGAGGCTGAGGCAGGAGAATGGCATGGACCTGGGAGGCAGAGCTTGCAGTGAGCCAAGATCGCGCCACTGCACTCCAGCCTGGGCGACAGAGCGAGACTCCGTCTCAAAAAAAAGAAAAAGGGGGCTGCAGCATTGTAAAGTTAATGAACAGTAGTATTGCATTAGTAATGCCATTATTCTTTGTTTTGTTTTGTTTGAGATGGAGTTTTGCTCTTGTTGCCCAGGCTGGAGTGCAGTGACGCGATCTTGGCTCACTGCAACCTCTGCCTCCCAGGTTCAAGCGATTCTTCTGCCTCAGCCTCCTGAGAAGCTGGGATTACAGGCGCCCATCTCCACGTCCAGCTAATTTTTGTATTTTTAGTAGAGACAGGGTTTCACCATGTTGGCCAGGCTGGTCTCAAACTCCTGGCCTCAGGTGATCCACCCCACTCAGCCTCCCAAAGTGCTGGGATTACAGGCATGAACCACCATGCCTGGCCAATGCCATTATTCTTGTTAAGAGCTAGGAGATTTTTCCAGAGAGAGCAGCTTCCTGGATTAGTCTAGGAGGAACATTTTCATTCTACTCCTGGCCTGGAAACAAGCTTGGTCTGAGGCCGTTGCCCCGCTGAGACTCTGTGGGTTGTGAGGCTAGCTGAGGAGAGAGGCTGGAGGCCTGGCTAAGGCGCCTTGGCCCAGCACCTTACCCCTTCTTCACTGCAGGGGGTTGAGTCAACAACTGAAAACGGATGAGGCCAGACTGACTGAAGGGCCCAAGCCATGGGACAGCCAGGACCTCTGTGCTGACCAGATCTGTCTACCAGGATCTTCATTCTAAGACCGGCCTCCCACACCGAGGCCCCTTTCTCCCAGGACCTACCTTCTCGGAACCTTGGCTGACTGGGAAAAGTCTCTATCCTGTGCTGACTGGCTGCATTTCCAACACATCACCCCATATGTCACATGGACCCCCCAGACACTGCACACCCTTCTACACGTCCCTTACAGGTTTCCTTTCCCAATCTACTTTTTACATCTTCTCGGTCCTTTTATCTCCTACATCTCAGCTCATGATCCTGATTCATTCATCCTTCCAAAAGAAAGGAGTCAGCTCCTTCACCAGTTCCTTCCCCCTCCCCTGATGTATACCCTTCATCCACCATTTTCTAAATACAATGACGTTATGATAGATCAGTATTACAAGTTAGATTGCAATTCTGCCCTCTGAGCTAAGCCACGTAGTATATTATGATGATCTTTCTATCTGTGAACAACTTTTTGTATTCCTTGGAGTTAGTGGTCATCTTGGTTTTTCATTTGTGGTCCATCTGCCCTTTGTTTTTGTTTTTGTTTTTGTTTTTGTTTTTAGAGATGGGGTCTCACTCCACCTGCCATTTATCCAGAAGTCAACATTTATTCTTCAACTCCCTCCACCTGGGCTTCTGCTCAAACCAGCCCATTGAAACTCCTGTTGTCAAGGTGTTAAACTACTTCCATATTGAAAAATGTGGTCGGCTGGGCGCAATGGCTTACACCTGTAATCCCAGCACTTTGGGAGGCCGAGGCCGGTGGATCACGAGGTCAGGTGTTCGAGACCAGCCTGGCCAGCATAGTAAAACCTCGTCTCTACTAAAAATAGAAAAATTAGCCGGGCGTGGTGGCACCTGCCTGTAATCCCAGCTACTCGGGAGGCTGAGGCAGGAAAATCGCCTGAACCCAGGAGGCGGAGGTTGCAGTGAGCCAAGATCGTGCCACTGCACTCCAGCCTGGGCAACAGAGCAAGACTCCGTCTCAAAAAAAAAAAAAAAAAAAAAAAAACGAAAAATGTGGTGGTGATGTCTATGTCCTTATTTCACATGATCTAGCAGCATTTGACATGGGTGAACACTTATCCTTTTCTTTTTTTTTTTTTTTCTGAGACGGAGTCTTGCTCTGTCGCCCAGGCTGGAGTGCAGTGGTGTGATCTCCGCTCACTGCAAGCTCCGCCTCCTGGGTTCATGCCATTCTCCTGCCTCAGCCTCCCGAGTAGCTGGGACTACAGGTGCCCGCCACCGCGCCCGGCTAATTTTTTGTATTTTTAGTAGAGACGGGGTTTCACCGTGTTAGCCAGGATGGTCTCGATCTCCTGACCTCATGATCTGCCTGCCTCGGACTCCCAAAGGGCTGGGATTATAGGCGTGAGCCACCGCGCCCGGCCACACTTATCCTTTTCTGAAACACACTTTGTTTGGTTCCACCGATGCTACACTCTCTTGGTTTTCCTTCTGTTACACCGGGTGTTCTCTCTGTCTCCGTTTCTGGCTCCTTCTCTTTGACCTTGACTTCTAAACGTTGGAGCATCCCAGGAATCAGTCCTGTGTCCCTTCTCTTCCTGGGTGATCCCACAATTTTATATACTTACTACAAGCTAATAATTCCCAAACTGGTATTTCCATCCTGGGCCTCTCCCCAAAGAGCCAGACTTATAGTTTCAACTGCCCAGTGACACCTCACATTGGATATCCAATAGGCTTCTCCAACTTAACAAAGTCAACACGCAACTCCAGATTCTCAGCTGTTTCCCTGCTCTTCCAGGGTTCCCACCTGTGTGATCTTACCACCATCCAACCAGCTGCTCCTCCCAGAACCTGAGACTCACCCTGGGTCTTCTCTTTCCCTCACTGTTGCTTATGTTACCTCTAAAATCAGTCTCAACTCCAACTGCTGCTTTGGGATCTGAGATCCTGCTGTTTCCGTGTCCTGGAAGATTCCTCTACCCGCACCCTCCCCAGGATTCATTTGATTGGTTTAAATGGCATCTCTTAAGAGGAGGCTCCCCTGACTGCCCTATCTAGAGCATCCCCCATCTCTGTTATCTTCTGTCTGGGACTATGTTGATGAATTTCATAGCACCTACTGCAATTCACAATTCATTTTTTGTGTGTCTATCTTTTTGTGTGTGTATGCCTATAACCCCTTTAAAATGAAACACCAGGGCAGAAAGGAAGGACTCTACCTTTCATGCTCAGTACGGTAACCCCACTCCAGGTAGAGGGTGTTCAATAAATTATGGAAAGAAGGAAGGGAAGCTCTGGGTACCAGCTTCAGCTCTCCAGGGAGTTCTGTGTGACCCAGGGCAAGTCACACCTGTTCCCAAGGTTATTTACTTGAAGTACTAACCCCACTTCCTGTCCCACTGAGGTCTTAAGGGAATCAGATGAGGGTGCCATAAAGGGTTAAGATTTCTGCAATCCTTACATAATAAAACGTGGCAAGCCTCCAGATGAAACCCCAAATGTCAGAATGTTCTATAAAGTACTTCCTTACCCTTAGACCACCTTTTCTGAGAAGAAGTAACAGTTAACTAATCTTAGCAGAGCATCTGCCCTGCCCACACCTTCTGTTTCTTATTCCCCTGCTGTATATACCATAGAACATCTCCACTACTGCCAGAGAGGGCATGGCCTCATTTTCTTTCTATCTTTTTTCCTTTTTAATTTTTTTTTTTTTTTTTTTTTTTTTTGTAGAGATGAGGGTCTCACTGTGTTGCCCAAGCTAGTCTCAAACCCCTGGTCCCAAGTAATCCTCCCACCTTGGCTTCCCAAAGTGCTGCAATTACAGGCGTGAGCCACTGTGCCTGGCCATTGGCTTCATGTTCTTTTTCTTTTCTTTTCTTTTTTTCTTTTTCTTTTTTTTTTTTTTTTTTTTTGAGACAGTGTCTCGCTCTGTCGCCCAGGCTGGAGTGCAGTGGTGCGATCATGGCTCACTGCAAACTCTACCTCCTGGGCTTAAGAGTGATCCTCCCACCTCAGCCTCCCGAGTGGCTGGAACCACAGCACCATGCCCAGCTAATCTTTGTTTTTGTGCAGACAGGATTTCACCATTTTCCCCAGGCTGGTCTCAAACTCCCGAGCCCAAATGATGTGCCCACCTTGACCTCCCAAAGTGCCGGGATTACAGGCATGAGCCACCGTGCCTAGCTGGCTTCATTTTCAAAAGAACACTGCTGGTAGCAGTAAGTCCAGCTTTCTCTCTTTTCACCTGTTGGCTCACTGCAACCTCCGCCTCCCGGGTTCAAGCAATTCTCGTGCCTCAGCCTCCCTAGTAGCTGGGATTACAGATGCTCACCACCATGCCTGGCTAATTTTTGTATTTTTTGTAGAAATGGGCTTTCACCATGTTGGCCAGGCTGGTCTCGAACTCCTGACCTCAAGTGATCCGCCTACCTCTGCCTCCCAAAGTGCTGGGATTACCGGTGTGAGCCACGGCGCCAGCCTCCAGTAGTATTTTTGAGGACCCACACAAATGCTCTGTAAACTATGAAGAGGGGAACAAGAGCAAACAAAAGATGTTGTGGGAGCCCAAGACCTGCTTACTGAATTGAATCAAAGAGGATACATTGAGCAGGGATGAGAAACCTCTGAGAAAAATGCTGAGCCTGAGGGGACAGGTATGGAACTGAAATGGATCCACTGCAGGACCAAGTAAAAAAGGGCGGGGGAGGCCTTCTGCTCTTTCCAGACCAAGGCACATCTCAGCTGGATTGAAGAGCTAAATAGAATAAAATCAGCCGACAAGCTGGGCGCGGTGGCTCATGCCTGTAATCCCAACACTTTGGGAGGCCGAGGCGGGCAGATCACGAGGTCAGGAGTTCAAGACCATCCTGGCCAACATGGTGAAACCCCGTCTCTACCAAAAATACAAAAAAAAATGAGCTGGGCATGGTGGTGCGCGCCTGCAGTCTTAGCTGCTTGGGAGGCTGAGGCAGGAGAATCACTTGAACCCAGGAGGCGGAGGTTGCAGTAAGCCAAGATCGCGCCACTGCACTCCAGCCTGGGCGACAGAGTGAGACTCCGTCTCAAAAAAAAATCAGCTGACGAGGGCCGGGGAGCGGCGGGGAGGGGATGCGGGAAGCCAGGTCTGAATATTTATCGTATCTCTAGAGGGGGGTTACATTAAACTTTTAAAAGAAATCAGAAATGAAAAGACAATAAAAATTCTTTAACTTGCAAAAATAACCTAAGTAAAAGGCAAAATAAACGAAGAAAAATATTTTTGACAAACTCGTTTCTATATGGAAAACCTGTACGGCAGCAAGACCTGTAGACTCGCATCTAGAGACGCTCAACCCTAGCTCCGTGTTCCAAGTGACGTGGCCTGTCGCACCCGCCGGGGACAATGACTGCGGCCCTGGGGTCCCACAGACGTTCCCTTTGCTAGACTTAAGGAAGAGCTAGGCCTGTCCGCGCTCCCAGCCCCCACGCAGCCAGACACCCGCGGGTGCTGAGATGAAGAGTGAAGTCACCAGGAGAGACAGGAAACAGCGCGGGCCTCGGGGACCCGAGGGCGCGGAAGCTCGGGGGCCGGGGTCGAGCACAGATTGGGAGGCGCAGCGCTGGGCGCACGTCCCCGTCGGCCCGGCGGCCCCTAATGAGGCGCGCTGTGCGCAGACTGCTAAGAGCAGCATGAGCACGGCTCCGGCGGCCCCCAGGGCCCCGCGGGTCGGCGCCACCCCGGAGCGCGGTGCCCGGAATCACTTAGCGCCATCAGCCGGGCGGCTGGGAGGGGGAAGCGGCCGATCCGGGCGGCTGGGAGGGGGAAGCGGCCGATCCAGGCGGCAGCGGAGGGGGCTGCAGCGGAGGCGGCCCCGGCTTGCACGCTCGCCCTTCCGCCTGCCCGGCAGGGCCCCGTCTGAGCCCCAGGCCCCAGGCCCAGCGGCGCCGCTCGCCGGTGAAGGAAACCAGCGCAGAGAGGCCGCGCTGCCAGGCGCGTGGTGGTCCGGGGGTCCACGTGTGAGCCTCGCCCTAGGCTGCCAATTGAGAGTTCCACCTCCGCCCAGAGAGACCCCACCTCACCCCTCCAACCTGGGGCGCGCGGGCCGGCGGAGGGGTCCTGGGGCGAGTGGGCAGGATAGGCCGCCGCGCGGGGTGGGCTTCTACGGGGTGTACTCGTTGCCTGTGGCTGGGGACTGAAATTCCCCGGAAAAGGAGACGGGGAGGACACACCTGGAGGGATAAACAGCTTGTGCAGGGATGTGAAAGAGAGAACCCAGCTGTGTGTGCGTGTGCGCGCGTGTGTGTGGTAGGGACGTCATACAGGACGCGTGGCCTACGAACGTGCTAAACCACTGGCAATAAAAACACAGAGTGTGGGGCCGGGAGCGGTGGCTCACGCCTGTGATCCCAGCACTTTGGGAGGCCAAGGCGGGTGGATCACCTGAGATCAGGAGTTCAAGACCAGCCTGGCCAACATGGTGAAACCCCATCTCTACTAAAAATACAAAAATTAGCCGGCCGTTGTGGCAGGCGCCTGTAATCCCAGCTAGTCGGGAGGTTGAGGCAGGAGAATCGCTTGAGCCAGGGAGGCGGCTGTTGCAGTGAGCCGAGATTGCGCCACTGCACTCCAGCCTGGGCAACAAGAGTGAAACTCTGTCTCAAAAAAAAAAAAAAAAAAAAAAGGAGTGTGTGCCAGCATCACTGTTTTAAGCCTTTTACGTATATTTTCCTCCTTGAATCACATAAACCCTGTGAAGGAGGAAGTATTTTTATCTCTATTTGCAGACAGGAAACTGAGGGGCAGAGAGGTTGAATAACTTGCCCAAGTTATTCAACGAACAAGTGATAAACAGCAGACCTGGGATTCAAACTCAGGCTCCAGGGTCTGTGCCCTTCACCACGCTACTGCCACAAAACCCTAGCAGAGCCGGGTGCTGGGGCACGCGCCTGGAGTCCCAGCTACTCCTGAGGCTGAGGCAGGAGGATGCTTGAGCCCAGGAGGTACAGGCTGCAGTGAGCCATGATCACGCCACTGCACTCCTGCCTGGGCTGCCGTGGGCTATGCCTAGCTGGCGTCTGCACTAAGTTCAGCATCAGCATGGTGACCTCCCGGGTGCAAGGGGACCACCAGGTTGCCTAAGGAGGGGTGAACCGACTCAGATCAGAAATGGAGCAGGTGAAAACCCTGTGCTAATCAGTAGTGGGATCCTGCCTGTGAATAGCCACTGCACTCCAGGCTGGGTGACATGGTCAGAACCCATCTTTGAAGGGGAAAAAAAAAAGATTGGGCTTGGGGGTGCATGCCGGTGGTCCCAACTACTAGCAAGGCAGAGGCAGGATGATGGCTTGAGCCCAGGAACCGGAGGCTGAAATGAGCTATGATCGTGCCACTGCACTTCAGCCTGGGTGACACAGTCAGACCCTGTCTTATAAAAAATAATAATAATAAAATATAAAATAAACAAAATAAAATAGCAGTGACTAAACCCCAAAGACATTTGTAATTTACTATAATTCAAGTTGGGAAGTGGGTGGTCCCAGGCCTGGCTGAAATTCAGGGATGGCATCTAGGGCTTCCCCACTCCTGTCTGGTACCCTCCACATGTCTGAGTGTCCCTCCTTGTGGCAAGGGGACAGCCACAAAATGGGTTCCCTCTTCTGAGCCTCTCCGCTCTCAGGGAGGAGAAACCTGCCCAGAGTCCCCACCCCTAAATCCCTCCAGACTGGACAAGCACCACTAGCCGGCTGCCTTCTTTGGGTTAGGCCAGCCAAAGCTCACCCCTAAGATTAGGTGTGCTCACAGGCCCCTGACAAAATGGGGTCCTGTTGGTGAGGAAGAGGAGGGACGGGACTGGCTGCTGGGTCAGTAACTGGGGTATTTGTCCCCGGCCCCAGGCTGGAAGGCATTGGTAGACTTGTACAGATCACTTCACTTGTGGGGACCCTGTGGCACAGAGAGACCCCGTGGCTTGTCCGGGACCACACAGCTAAGCCGGGCAGAACTACTGAGCGAGGAGCCTATCAGTCCTGGTTCCCAAGCTCCCTGCCCCAGCCTGCCCCTGGCCTCCCAGTGCCTTGGCCTGCCTCACATGCCTGGGCTTGGCCCCAGGTTATCTTCAGAGCCATCCCATCCTGCCTCCCTGACTGACCATGCCACTTCCCGCTCAAAACCTGTCCATGGCTCCCCATTGCCCTCTGGACAATGCCCAGACATGTCCAACAGGCCTGCAGGTCTGGCCCTGCTAACTCTCACCTTTGTCCACTCCCCCGAGTGACACACCGTTGTCCCCAGCCCCCAAGGGTACGCCAATTCCAGGCAGTGCTGCCGGGTCTTCTCTGTTGGTGCCTTTTATGTGATTTTTTTTTTTTTTCTTTTGAGACAGGGTCTCACTCTGTTGCTCAGACTGGAGTACAGTGGCGTGATCTCAGCTCATGCAACCTCTGCCTCTTGGGTTCAAGCAATTCTCCTGCCTCAGCCTCCGGAATAGCTGGCATTGCAGGCATGTGCCACTACTGCCCGGTTAATTTTTTTATTTTCAGTAGAAATGGGGTTTCACCAGGTCGGCTAGGCTGGTATCGAGCTCCTGACCTCAAATGATCCACCTGTCTCAGCCTCCCAAAGTGCTGGGATTACAGGCGTGAGCCACTGCACCCGACTCCTTTTATGTGATTGTTTTAAAGAACCAACCTCTGGTTGTGTTGAATCTCCATAGTGTTTGTTTCACTGATTTATACCTTTATTACATTTCATCTTCTTTCTTTCTTTCTTTTCTTTTTTTTTGCGACAGAGTCTTGCTGTATTGCCAAGGATGGAGGGCAGTGGTGTGTTTTTCAGCTCACTGCAGCCGCTGCCTCCCAGGTTCAAGCAATTCTCCTGTCTCAGCCTCTCAAGTAGCTGGGATTACAGGCACCTGCCAACGCACCCAGCTAATTTTTGTATTTTTAGTAGAGATGGCCATGTTCACCATGTTGGCCAGGCTGGTCTTGAACTCCTGACCTCAAGTGATCCACCCACCTCAGCTCCTAAAGTGCTGGGATTACAGGCGTAAGTGTGTGTTTTTTTAGAGATAGGCTCTGTTGCCCAGGCTGGAGTGCAGTGGTGCAATCATAGCTCACTGCAGCCTCAAACTTCTGGGTTCAACTGATCCTCTTGCCTCGGCCTCCCAAGTAGCTGGGACTATAGGTACCGACCGCCACGACCAGCTGATTTTTATTTTTTATGTTTTTGTAGAGATGGGATCTTATTATGTTGCTCAGGCTAGTCTCGAATTCCTAGCCTCAAGGAATTCTCCGGTGTTGGCCTCTGGAAGTGCTGGAATTACACGTGTAAGCCACCACGCCCGGCAAAGATTTTATTTTTTATTCAACCTGAGAGCTCCGGTTTTAACAAGGCA